>NC_000011.10:34302424-34453939 GCF_000001405.40 Homo sapiens
TCATCAAGGAATACTCTACTTGGGAAACTTGAGAGCAGGAATTCTTGCCCTGAGCCTCTGGTATGAGAAGGCCTGCTCATTCCCCAGACCACAGAGGGGCTCAGGCTGCAGCCAGAAACACTGCCAAGACCTGAAATCAAGGGTTGACCTGGGCCTGCTATTTCTCTCAACAGTTTGTTGGTCATTGAGGCTGTGGCCCTTGAATGAGTCAGTGTTTGTGGCTTTAAAAAATACCTCAAGGGCAGCAAGCAAAAAAAGATGTTCCTGTGATCAGCTAAGGCTAAGGAGCCTCACTCCCTCCAGACCACAACCTCTTTAGCGCTTGCGAGGGGTAGTAGGCTTAGGTGACATAATCAAAGGCCCAGTCAGAAGGGAAGCTGGGGCATTCCTAGCAGTTTAGTTCATTACCCAGATTCACCAGGGGATTGGGAGCTACTCAGGAGTCTGGGGCTGCAAAGTCCCCAGTTATAAATGGGAACCTCTATCTAGGGTAGTTGGTGCTTCACTGGGAGGGCAGCGTTAAGATAAGGACCTGATAAGACACCTCCAGCCCAATTTCCTGGCTCTGGCAGATTGATTCCTGATGGCTTTCCTTCTCAACATTCCTGTCTTCAGGCCTTTGATTTTAGGCAGAGGCCACAGAACACTTTCTCAGGTAGGAACCAAATAGACCACACAATTAGCATCTCCCACTTGCCACGGTGCTGTTGGATTTATGGTACTTAGGAAGATGGCAGTAGTCAGCTCACTTCATTGGTCAAGAGACAGAGCCACAGTAAGGCTAGGAAGAAATATAAAGGTCACTTCCTGTGCTGAGCACTTCCTAGAGCAGCCACAGGCCAGCCCACCAACTACTGGCTGCAATTCTGGACCACTCCATCGCACAGCCTACAAATGTTTTCTAACTGTCTTCCGTTTTTATTAACCAGTCAAGCATGTTTTACTTTACACTCTGATAAGAGGATCAGAAACAGCTTTCCCACATCTAAGGCACTCTTAATCAATTGCAAGGAATACAAGAGCAGCATCACGTAGAGGTTTCCACCCACAGGAGGAAGAAATCCAATTTTTCTTTCTTTAACTGCCAATTCTAATGCACACTTTTTACCCTTTATAGGTTAGCCACACTTTGAATGCATTTAACTTAAATGAAAAAAAATAGTAATAAATGCTTATACAGCTGTCCCCCTATCTACAAAGAACTATGGGTGCTTTTTTTTTTTTTTTTTTTTTTTTGAGACAGAGTCTCGCTCTGTAGGCCAGGCTGGAGTGCAGTGGCGTGATCTCAGCTCACTGCAGCCTCTGTCTCCTGGGATCAAGCAATTTTCCTGCCTCAGCTTCCCGAGTAGTTGGGATTACAGATGTGTGCCTCCTCGCCCAGCTAATTTTTGTATTTTTAGTAGAGACGGGATTTCACCATGTTGGCCAGGCTGGTCTCGAACTTCTGACCTCAGGTAATCCACCCGTCTCGGCCTCCAAAAATGCTGGGATTACAGGTGTAAGCCACCACGCCTGGCCTCAGCTATGGGTACTTTCTCTGGTTTCAGTTACCTGAGGTCAACTATGGTCTGGAAATATTAAATGGGAAATATACAGAAATAAACAATTCCTAAGTTTTAAATCGAGTGCCGCTCTGAGTAGCATGATGAAATATTGCCCAGTCCGGCTCTGTGGTGCTGAGGACGGAATCATCCCTTTGTCCAGCTGGTCCATGCTGTATATGCTATCTGCCCATTGGTGTATAGGAAAAAACATGGTATATCTAGAGCTCAGTCCTATCGCAGTTTCAGGCATCCATCAGAGGTCCAACATATGCTCTGTGGATAAAAGATTATTGTATTCTTTTTGTCTTTATTTTTTCTTTTTATGGAGAACAGGATCTCACTATATTGCCCAGGCAGGCCTTGAACTCCTGAGCTCAAGCTATTCTCCGGCCTCTGCCTCCCTAAGGGCTGGGATTACAGGTGTAAGCCATTGCACCTGGCAGTTATTGTATTAAAGTAATTATGTGCCAATACTGTCACAAGTGCTTCCTACAAATGAATGGATTTAATCTTCCTAATAACCCATGAGGTAAGTATCATTCACATTTCACAGATGAAAACAGACACAGAGGCTAGGCATAGGGGCTCACGCCTGTAATCCAACACTTCAGGAAGCCAAGATAGGTGGATCACTTGAGCCCAGGAGTTTGAGACCAGCCTGGGCAATATGGGGAGACAAACCACATGAGAAAAGAAAGAGAAGACTAGGAGAAGGAGAGGAGGGAAATGGAGGGGAAGGGAGGGGAGGGAAAGAGACTAAGAGGAGTCAAATAGTTTGTCCATGGACATATAGGTAAGAGTGGTGGGGCCAGGATTCAAACTCGGGCAGTCCACTGCAGAGGGCTCTTCACCACCCAAAAGCCACAGAGGCCCTGGCTGACATGGTGTAGGAGTTTTGGCTGCCACTCTCTTCCAAGGGCATAGACCCAGAGTGAATGTGTGTTTCCTCTGCCAGTCTCAGTTCCCAGGTGCCTGTCAGTGTAATTCATGGACCACTCAAAGTGTTTTCAGGAGTTATTTTGGCCACATGCAATTTGTGCTGACATCCAAGCCTAATACCTAAGCAAGGTAATACTCCTCAGAGCAGTGTCTGCTTCTATGTGGACAAGCAGCTTCCACATCAGGGCACACATCTCAGGCTAAAGAAAACATGGGCTCTGAATGAAGACCCCACATAAGTACACTTGATCTAGAAGAGGCTCTTGCATCCCCAGGTTTAAATCAAAACATTAAGCTAGGTCTCCACACTAAACCACCAACACATGCCTGAGAGACCTTGTGCATGCCATATGCTCATTCTTGGCAGTGTTAGTTTCCTAAGTGTGTAAACAGCGATGGTTTTACAGGACAGGCTTGCTCCCGCATGCACACATTCGCTCTGATACCTGGCACACTTCTCTCCTCAAAGAGGAAAATCTTGCAGTTTGAAACATTCACTATGCATGAAGCATCACCAGAGGGGCAGTAACACCACATGGGCCTCCCAACAAACTGAAATAGCCAGTCAACGGGGCGATTATTGAGGTTTCGCCTTCCTAGCAGAAAATCATCTTGCACGTTGTATAAACATTCCACTGGTGGCTTTGGAGCTTGACAGGAAATGTGTGGAGTAAGGGAACCAGAGGCAAAAGATCTGATATCTTAATATATTTCATTCATGATGATTTCCACCTTCAGAGAGACAGGAGAGGACAAGGGAGTAGAATTTTACTTTTTCCTCCCTCTAAACCTTCATTCTGAACATGTTCAAACTTAGAGAAATAGAAAGGATAGTGCAATAAATACTCATATACCCTTTACCTAGACTCACCAATTGTTAACATCTTTTATTTTCTGAACAATTTGAAAGTTGCAAACACATGGCTTCCTCTATCACTATTTCAACATGTATCACCTAAGACAAAAGACATTCTTCTATATCACATTGCCATTCTCAAGAAAGTTAATACTGACACAGTAATGTTATCTAATATCAATCCACATCATTATATTCACTCTTAATATTAAGAGTCAGCAAAACCTCAACTAAATAAAATGATACAATTTGGATTCATTTGTTCGTATAAAAAAATAATTCTAAAACATACCAAAGTCTATTCTCTAAGAACAGGAAGTTAACAGTCACATTCTCTAAGAATACAGTTAGGTATTTACAGGTCTCAGCACCATGACTCTAAACTAATTTTCTCCTTATACAACATTGTAGACCCAACAGGGGAGGACAAAGCTTGAAGCAAATGGCTCCCACTAGCTGCCTGGAAAGTTTGATTTTTTTTTTTTTTTTTTTTTTTTTTTTTGAGACGGAGTCTTCTCTGTCATCTAGGCTGGAGTGCAGTGGCACAATCTCGGCTCACTGCAACCTCTGCTTCCCAGGTTCCAGGGATTCTCCTGCCTCAGCCTCCTGAGTAACTGGGATTACAGGCGTGCACCACCACACCTGGTTAATTTTTGTATTTTTAGTAGAGGTGGGGTTTCACCATGTTGGCCAGGATGGTCTCGAACTCCTGACCTCAGCTGATCTGCCTGCCTCAAGCTCCCAAAGTGCTATGATTACAGGCGTGAGCCACTGCGCCCAGACTGGAAAGCTGTTTTTTAAAAAGACATTCCAAGCTGGATGTGGTGGTGTGTGCCTGTAGTCCCAGCTACTGAGGAGGCTGAGGTGGGAGGATGGCTTGAGCCCAGGAGTGTGAGGCTGCAGTGAGCCATGACTGCACCACTGCACTCCAGCCTGGGTGACACAGTGAGACCCTGTCTCTAAAAAAAAAATAAGTAAAACCGAGAAAAGAAAGATTGGAAGGTACACCACTTTCTTTAGTTATCTTTTCCTTTTTATAGACAAATATTACTTTATAGAATTCTTCAAAGAAGTTATTTGGGAAATTCTGCTGTGTGAAAGTTCTGATGAGTTCAGCACATAGCAGGTACTTAAAGACGCCTCTGGACTGAAGTGAAGCTTGCTTACTAGTTTTCCAGCCATAGCAAGCAATGACAGCTAGCACCATGTCAGGAAACTTAAAAAAAAAAAAAAAAAAAAAAGAAAGAAAAAAAGCAGACGAACTTTAAGAAGACTCAGTAAAGGGCCACTGCGTGTAGGGTACACTTCCCTGCATGTCTCCCTGAATGAATTCGTCTGTTAGATCCTGGTATCCTAAGTCATAAGGACAACCCAAGTCACCTAGGCTCCTGCAGGCCTGTGCTTCTGTGGGTGAGAGCCCTCCATCCTGGTATTGTGAGAACTGTTCAACAGCAACCAATGCTCCTAGTGCTCCCTGAAGGTAACAGGTTGCTAGGTCACAAAAAGGAGGAGTCCAGCACAATTAGGTCACTTCTCTAAAACACCTGTGAGATCAGAACTGAGAAGTGACCAGCCACATTCTCTCAACGAGATCACATGTTTATCCCTACATCTTCCCCCACCTCCTCATATGCATAACCTGTATTACCACTACATCCTAAAATGCTTGGAGAACAGCTCACACCCCCAGCACTGAGCTCTTCAGCAGTCTCCACCATCCAGAATGCAGCCAATGAGCAGGAAATGAAGGAAAGAGTTTGAGCAGTCAACAGAAACGCCATAGACCCTGTTCATGGCTCTCCGAGAGAGGGCACTACAAATTCTTTCCTTTCACACATTTTCCAAAGTGTAATTTCCCTGGGGACACAGATTGTGCTCTCTTGGTCTGATTCTTATGTTAATGGTTTGAGTCTGGCCTCATAGTTAGGTGACTCTCTGTTTTTTTTTTTTTTTGAGACGGAGTCTCGCTCTGTCGCCCAGGCTGGAGTGCAGTGGTGCGATCTCGGCTCACCGCAACCTCCGTCTCCCGGGTTTAAGCGATTCTCCTGCCTCAGCCTCCCACATAGCTGGGATCACAGGCACGCGCCACCATGCCCAGCTAATTTTTGTATTTTTAGTAGAGACAGGGTTTCACCATGTTGGTCAGGCTGGTCTCGAACTCCTGACCTCGTGACTGCCTGCCTTGGCCTCCCAAAGTGCTGGGATTACAGGCGTGAGCCACTGCACCCAGCTAGATGACTCTCTAAGTCACAGCATGATGGAATCAAAAGGTGGATTTTTTGGAATCAGGACCCTTTGGGCAAGTTACTTCACTTCTCTGTGTCTGGGCCTCCTCATCTGCAAAACGGGGATAACAACAGTAGCTCCGACCTCCTAGGTTACTGTGAGGATTACATGTGTGGACACATGTGATGAGCTTGGAATACAGGATACAGGGCAAGCATGCAATGGATGTTTGTGATTATTAGTCATTGCTACTATATGTAAATTTCCAGCCCATCACCTGACACATAACAAGTCCTCAAAACAGCCTACTGACTGAAAGAAGATGGCTGATTTTATTTCTCAGGCCACAGCTTGTTTAAAGCAGCAAGAAATGACAGCTAACAGCATTAGAAGGGCTTAAACATTTACAACACAAAAAGCAGGCATAAAAACTTAAGACTGCAGTGTGGGGCCATTTAATATTGGGACCAACATTCGATCACATCTTGGGGTCACTCCCTGAGGGCACAAGCACTGTAAGAATACTCATGGATCTTGAGTCATCAAGAACATAGTCACATCTATGCAGCTCACTCACTGTTTAAGAAAACAGGAAACTGGCCAGGTGCAATGGCTCACACCTGTAATCCCAGTACTTTGAGAAGCCGAGGCGGGTG
This sequence comes from Homo sapiens, assembly GCF_000001405.40. Classification (NCBI taxonomy): domain Eukaryota; kingdom Metazoa; phylum Chordata; class Mammalia; order Primates; family Hominidae; genus Homo; species Homo sapiens. The sequence continues at coordinate 34,308,646 of NC_000011.10, forward strand.
GATCACCTGAGGTCAGGAGTTCAAGACCAGCCTGGCCAACATGGTGAAACCCTGTCTGCACTAAAAATACAAAAATTAGCTGGGCGTGGGTGGCAGGCGCCTGTATTCCCAGCTACTCAGGAGGTTAAGGCAGGAGAATTGCTTGAACCCAAGAGGTGGAAGTTGCAGTGAGCTGAGATCATGCCATTGCACTCCAGCTTGGGCAATGAGAGGAAACTGTCTCAAAAAAAAAAAAAAAAAAAGAAAAGAGAAAGAAAGAAAAGCAAAGAAAACAGGAAACTGTGTGAAATGCTTTTCAAATGCTTTGGTCTCGAAGAATTAAAATTTTATTGCAATGACAATGTTTTGGCACTTACAAGGCATGAATGTGCTGCAATCCTGAATGCCTCTATGGTCTGATAGGCTGAGATTTCAGCAGAGGCAGATTTACTACGAAGCCAAAGAAGCGTAAACTTCAGGCAGCCTCTACTTATACAGGTTGCTTCCAAAACTTCTGGAGGGGGCCTGGCAATGTGTTCACATGGACGTGTGTTTTTTTGCCAAAGTAAGATTAGCCACTGTCAGTTGATACCATTGTCTCTTTCCACTGCAACTGACCACATGTTCCCATGCATTGGGTGGGCATTTTGGGGACCTTGTTGAAGGAAATTGAGTTGGGGATACAGTCAGCTGGGTTCAGTGGTTAGCAGTCACATCCACTTAGAGTTAATACATCACTAACAATCCCTTATGCCAATGACTTCCAGAAGGACTCCTATTGCAAAATGTGTTATGACACAAGGGTGCAGGTCAGAGGTTATATCAAGATATGAACGGGCATTACCGTGCTCAACACCAGAGGCAGTGCTGGGAGCAGAGGAGAAACGAAACTCATGACGGACAGAGTCAGAAGCTAGGCTTGTGGAAAGTTCTTCCAAATCTCACTGCTCAGAAATGAAAGAAACGTGGCCACGATTTCCCCAAATTTGACAACAATCCTAATACTTGACATCACCAATAATGAGTTATGAAGTTAAAAAAAAAAATTTTCAAAACCATTGGAGAAAAGAAAAACAAACTTTTGGTTAACTATTTTAAAGGGAAGTCTCAATTGTTCCTTTAGAAAACAGTACAGAATCATTGTCATAGGAAGAGGTGATCAGAGTCAAAAAAAAAAAGATGGGGAAAAACAGTATTGTCAAGGTGTGTCAGGCAGTTAAAGTTATTGATTTGTGATATGTGTGTCAGCTTTAACAAATTTTTCTCATTTTAAATAAATATTCACTTTTATATCTCATTGTGCATTTGTAATTTTGGATTCTTTTCCTTAACTGTATTAACTTCAGGTGTCAGGAAACCCGGATCACTCCTGACAGCGGCCTAGCGATCACTTGGGCTTGACCTTGACATTGAGTAACAGTGATAGTAACTTCTATTACATTGAGCAATCGCCCTGCATCTAAAAGGGGGAGGAGCACAGTATGTATGTCTCCTGCTCATCAATGACAGGAGCTCAGGGAGGAAAGCACTGAGAGCCCAGGAAGGGCTCGAGAAGTAATCCCTCATCCATATGCAGATGACTTTCAAATCCTTATCTTCAGATCCATTATCCCATTTTCACTTTACCACTTTATTATTCCACAGATACCCTAAACTTGGCCCCTGTCCTGTGTCTCTCCCTCTCTCAATTAAAGCTCCAGCATCTACCCTGCTGTGAGTGCCAGAAATGTGAGTCCCGATTCACCTACCCCTCCCTGCAACCCTCTGAGTTTCGAATCAACTTCCAAATCTGTCACTGCTGCTTCTCTCTACCGCCACCCTCACGTCCCCAAGCTTGCCTTGCCTCTCCCCTGAAGTACTCCATGGTGCCCTTGTGGGTTTCCTCCTCACACACCTATCCCTCCAGCCAGAGCAAGCCCTCCTTTCAGAGCACAGTTCTGACCACATCAACCTCCGCTGCATCCCTCCAGCCTTTAAGTTCCTGTTCTTTTCAGCCTCAGGGCCCCTCACACATGCTGTTCCCTTTCCTTGCACCTCCCTCACCCCCCAGCACCCTCCCTCTGCTAGTCAAGTCCTCCTACCCAACTGGGTCACGGACCCCTGTTTAAGAAGGAACATGGCTCTCCTCCGTGGGTGGACTGCATGGAGGTTATGCTCTTTAATGTGCGTCTCCTTCATTAATCCACTGATGGTCACCTGCATCTCATATCCTTAGTCCCTTGCACAGCTCCCCACACGACACACTCAAAAACAGCTGTGAGAGCAAATGTGTGCATTTGTGCTGTTTTTGGAAGGGAAGCAATTTCCCCGGTGGTCCCTCTCTTCAGCCAAGGTCCTGATGGAGGATACCAGTCAGACTTGTGCTGGTCCTGAGGAAACCACAGAGAGATGCCGTTTCTCCATGTCAAAGGGGCTGTATGCACAGCCTGACCCCTTCCACTGCCTTCAGTTTCTGACCTTCTTGGCCTTGGGAGAAGAGGCGGCTCCTCAGAGCTCTAGCTTTCACTGGCTCCAGGATGCTGCATCTCGTTCCAGGGGACCCTGACAGACCTCATGCACACCCTGGCTTGTCAGGCCCCGGAAGGGCTGTCTGACCTCCTAAGAGCTGCCACCTGTGAGGTGAAGCTGGACAGGAACTTAACACTTCCATGCTGCAGACCCAGAAAAGCACATTGCAAGTGCTTCTAAATTTATCTGCTGGCAAGAAATCTAAAAATACTGAAGGTGATATTTAGTCCTGAGAACACCAGAGTGGCTGGGATAGGCCTCAGCTGTCCTCATCATTACCCTCAGCTCCAAACCAATCCAAATAAGCTCACTCTAAAAACATCTCATCTTGCAGTGCAAAGGGTGCTTCAAACAAGTCCCTCGGCCACTCTCGGAACCAGATTAAGGCAGAGCGCCTCACGTAAATAGAAATTCTGAAGCCGCTGCTAATATTTTGAGAGAGAGGGAGAGAGAGAACACATAATACTTTCAGAGATAAGCTGAGGTTGTTCTCCAGGCCGAGTATAAAATCTTTTTTGAAAAGAAGGTGTCCATTTATACTGGGAGGCACTTATTTAAGCCCAGCCCCAGTTACTAGTATTCTTTCCTAGGGTAATTATTACACTTTTCTCTTTTGAGATAAACCCTACAGTAAAGGATGGAACAGGTGCTACAAGTGAGCAATCAACTACTACTCTGCTGGAGCAGGACTTCTAATGACCCGTTCATTCAGAGAAAGCCAATGGGGGCCGGGCATGGTGGCTCACACCTGTAATCCCAGCACTTTGGGAGGCCAAGGTGGGCGGAGCACCTGAGGTCAGGAGTTGGAGACCAGCCTGGCCAACATGGTGAAACCCCGTGTCTACTAAAAATACAAAAATTTGCAGGTCATGGTGGCGCACGCCTGTAATCCAAGCTACTCAGGAGGCTAAGGCAGGAGAATTGCTTGAACCCAGGAGGTGGAGGTTGCAGTGGGCTGAGTTTGTGCCATTGCACTCCAGCCTGGGCGACAGAGCAAGACTCCATCTCAAAAAAAAAAAAAAAGAAAAAGAAAAAGAAAAAGAGAAAGCCAATGGAACAAGCAGGTGGTTCTGCCTGGAAAGGCATCTTCAACCTGACACAGCATCTCCAGATACCCCTAAATGGTCCCTTTTTAATTAAACACTGGAATCCCAGGAAAACACACCTTGTTCATTCATTTCAGAGGGTCTCTACGAGGCAAGTGATGTTGGACTTAGGGCCAGAAGATTCAGGCTCAAATTGGGCGAGTTTTCTGCACTATAAACCGGGGGTGGTGACTGCTGTAGGGGGTCACCTTGAGGATTATAAGGGATAAACAAGATGAAAGCACATTGCTGGCCATTCCGCAGGGCTTGACAGGGATACGCAGCTTCGGAACCCAGTTTCTGGCTTTTGTGCCCAGGAGAGCATTCAGCGCTTTATTATTTCTGAATCAAAAAGTTTATTCTCTAAACTGTATCCAGGGTCAGATTGGTTTGCAATCCTCAGAGTTCCCATTTGTTCTTTCATCTCTCAGCTGGTCTAAGAGAAAATAAGCCCACTCCTCTGAACAATGCTGTGTATTGGGTTCTACTATTCTCTTTTTGGAGACAGGGTCCCACTCTGTCACCCAGTTTGGAGGGCAGGGGTGCAATCATGGCTCACTGCAGCCTTGACCTCCTGGGCTCAGGCAAGCCTCTCACCTCAGCCTTCCGAAGTGCTGGGATTACAGGCGTGTGCCACTATGCTGGGCTACTATTCTCATTTTATAGGAGAAATCGCCTCAGAAGGGGTAACTTGTGTTAGGTTACAAAGCTAGCAAGTGGCAGAGCTGGGGCCTGAAACACAGGCCTAAATGATTCTAAAATCCATGTTCTTAGAAGAAAAAAAGAAAAAAGAAAGAATAGAAAAGACCCAATTTCTTAGCAAGTGAAACTACCTGCACTAAAATTAAATCTATATTCATGATTTAGAAATGGTCCAGGAACTGAAAGAGTTAACAATAGCTCACTGTCAGTGGAACAATTTATACAGGAGCCCATGTGCATTTTCTTGCTCAAGGGTTTCTGGAACCTTCCCTGGAATTAGGTCAGCAGCTGGAGAGCAGCTAGCAGTGGAAAGAGGAGTAACAGAATGACCAGACACCCCAACCGCTTCTGGTGCTGGCTCTGAAAGGCTGGCTCCCGGACAGACGGAGTGTCCCATTGGGCCGGCTCCCGAGCACCTCAGCTGTCTCCTGGGTAGGATGTGGTCTGACCACATTCTTTGAAGTGTATGGTAGCTCCTTACAAGCCACCTGGCTGAGAAGGCAAGCCAGCAACCCCAGCAGCAACCTGCACCACCATCAGGCCCCCCAGAGAGTGCCACCTCCTGCCCCTTGGGGCCCAGGCTCCCCGGAGAAGCAGAAGCTCTTTTGGCCTCATACACAGCCCAGTCATTGTAACCCAGACCATTGGACAAGGAGGATGTGCGGAGAATATCTCAAACGCCCTGAGAGATGGAGTTGTTACAATACACATTTCATGTAGACGGTGATATCAGCCATGCCACGAAAGTGGGAGAGATGCCACTGGGAGGGCGCACCTGCCTCAGTTTCTTCATCTGTAAAATAGAGGTTATGATAGGACTTTGCAACTCTACGGAGAAACAAGTGGATCTGTGTAAAGCACTCAGTGCCTGATGATGAACACACACTCACTATGTCCAACTATTATTACTAGTATTTCTTACCACCCTTATAATCATAGATTCTCTGTGTAAAAGCCCTCCCCACCGTCCTCAGCAAGGGACTTGCCCCAGCACTGCTGACGTTAAGGCCGAGTTCTCCTTCAAGGTGGGGCAGGTTGGAGGGCACAACCTGGCTCCCACACGGTCCTAGGGTGTGGGTGCTGCCTGTTATGTGGTGAATGGATAAACATGCTCTGGAAACCGAGGGGGCTGGAGGTCCCCAAATTTACAACAGCAAAGGAGAGGGGCTAATGCTGGTCACAGAGTGATGAGGGAAACTACTACCTGAGATACTCCCATGCAGGTGGCTTTAATTCCCTGATATCCAGCACCCCAAAACCCTCGAGGGTCATGTGGAAGGCTGGATAGATGGCCATGTCGCATGCCCAAGAGATCTTCCAGAGCAGCTGGTCTCACCAGACTTGAGGCTGTTCTTCTCGGATATGCTGAAACAGAGAAGAGGCTTCTGCAACCTGTTCACTAAGTGGGTCAGAGATTAGACTCTAACCTCGATGAGGGCGGGACCAGGTCTGTTTTTCTTACTAGGGTATCTGTACTCCAAGGCTGAGCCAGCGCTTGGCACATAGTCCATGTTCAATAGTATTTGTTGCATGAAGAAAGGAATGACTAGAAAAGTCAAATAGATGTGTGTGTTTTAAGGACCTACCATGTGACACACCTGTGCTAGGTGCCACAGGGGCATGATCTTTTCTTCTCTGCACACAGCTGCAAGGGAGAGGTGCTGATGGCTCTCTTTTGAGAGGAGGACACTGAGGCTAGGAGGTCAGTGTCCCCTCAGACCAAGGGCTCATGACTGGTGAGTGGCAGAGCTCAACCTCCCCCTGGTATCCGATGCTGGTGCCTGGATCCTCTTAGAAGGACTGGCTAGATAATTTTCAGGGTCCAGATCAAAATGAAAATGGGAGGCTCCTTGTTCAAAAATTAAGAATTTCAAGGCAGTGATAGCTGATCATTAAGCCAAGTGTGGAGCCCTTCTGAGTGGGGGGCCCTGTGTGACAGCACAGGCTGAGAGTCCATGAGGCTAACCCTGTTCTGAGAGGCTGAGGGTGATGCCGCACTTACAAGGTACAGTCAGCCCCTGTGATGGCCCTAATGGTTTCCATGTTGCCAAGCTCCAACCCAACACTCCAAATGACTTCCCCAGAAAGGCCGCTGCAGATTATCTTACCCTCTTTTCAAAAAACAAAGACTGGAAAAGTCCTCGCCAGAAGGGCTCAAAATTCCATATTAAAAAGAGGCCTGCACTCGCGCGAGCCTGCCTTCTGGACAGTGCATTTGCATGAGGCCACGTGAGCGCAGACACTGTCTGTGGAAACAAGCACGCCTGGCATTTGGAAACTAACTGGGACCAGACCCTTGGTCGAGGAGCCCCAAATTACCACAGAGCAAGTCTCCTGATTAAAACCAGGGCACTGAGGTTCCTGGGTTTCACTGAATAAACACGCCCAGTTCAGGCTGACTGGTTTCAGCTGATGGGGAGAAATGAGTCTATTTGAAATAACCTGTGTCCGGGGCCATCCTGACATGGGGCTCTGAGGGTCTGGGGCTTGGCTTTCCGAGGTTTAGAAGCCCATCTTTGGGAGGTTTTTGAGACAAAGGAAAGCTGTATTGGGCAGCTAAAAAGCTCTGGGGAATACAGGCCCCAATCATTCATGAGGAGGAATGGAAACAATTAGATTGATTCCAGGGATGTGTTCTGGGTTCCCATTCTCCTCTCCTGGCATCCAGTGCCTGTCTCCTCCATCCCTCCTCCCCTGCCCCAATCATAGCTCACCCTCGGCGCTGAGCAGACATGGGCAGGGAGAGAAGGGCACATTCTGGCTGGCCGTAGCCCGGAGGCTTTACTGTGGTAAGTATAGTTCTGAAATGCGCAGGTCTCCTTAAATTCAATTTCCCTTTTCCTATCAGAAATGACACGAGCAGCCACCCCCCAGGTTTCCAGCTGCCTTTCATGGCAGGCTCTCAGTGCTTCTGACACACAGAATTCCCAACACCTGTGCCAGCCAGGTGCCAGGCATCTACCCCTCACAGTGGAGAAACCTGAGGTGGCTTAGCATAACTTCTTCAAGGCGAGCTTATGCGGCAATTTCTAACCAGTCATCGTCAAACTGCTGATTAAATGTTTGCAGTTAAAATGTTAAGAACAAAAGAAAAAATATGTTGCTTTGTTTTATCCAACACTTGACAAGAACTAACTTTGGGATCAAGTGGCCAGGGTTGCTAGAACAAGGCTAAAAATGCCGATGTTCCTCTGCTTCACTCACACTGCAGCAAGGAAACTAACATTCCAGACACCCCGTCCCTGGGCAAGGAGGAGGGGAGACAGCCCTCACTGACAGCACCCAACGTGAGGCTGTGTTTTGTGGTCAGTCCCAGATTCTGGCCATCACAGTGGCACGGATCATACGGACACTGCAAAAGTCGCAAATGGCTCCCTTTCATCCTTTCTTTCAACCATCAGCAAACTGGGGCTCTCTGGATAGACAAGAACTCCTCACAGTAGGTTAGCACTCGCCTTTCAGCAATGATTTCATTTTAAACTCAACTTCAGATCCAGCCCAGCTCTGACTATAATCACAGTGGATGGGCTGAGCCTTCTGCTCCTCTGGGAGGTAAAAGATACTCACTGGATCATTTCCTGCACTCTGCTCTTTTGCTACCCCAAAACCCACAGGCTTGTCAGTGACCGAGTGGCAAACGTGTTTGTCGCAAATATTTCATCATCAACTACAAGGCTGAGCAGTGAAAATACCAAGGCCAAGTTGCTGTTGCCACTGGTGCTGCTGAAGCCCAGCTTTAAGATAATCCATGAGCCCCAGAATATGTTTTTAAAAAAAAATACAGTGTGTACTTGAATGTGATAAAAACCGCACCAATAACAACTGCACACACAGAGTTTCCAAGAATAAATAAAGCTTGGCTGAGCCTGTCCTAATTGACTACATTAAGGGTATACAAAGGACCTGTGTGTGACCAAGACAGTGGTAGCACAGAAGATATGTGGGAAGCTTGTGATACAGTTCTTACCCTGGACACACTAATGACCTCACTGGGGAAGCCCGGGAGGCACATGGGAAAGAACAGAAAGATCTGGACGAAACACTCCAGCCCCATCAGTGTCTGCTTCAAAACTACTGTGCCTGAGGTACTCAGGGCGGTAGAGGCACAAAGCCTGTTTGATTCTGCTCTGCTCATAGGCAACTGACTACAAAACCAACAGAACTAGAACAATTCCAACCAGAGACACATGCAAGAACCCTTGGTACTTCATGCCATAGGTTTTTGGATGTTTAACAAAGACATGACCTCTCTTGTGTAAGTTAAACATGTCACCTGTGCCATCTGTTTATATTCTAGATATGCCTGATGAGCCTGGCTTAGGCAATCTTGCCCTCTGATTCCACTGCCCTCTGTTCAGATCTCCATCACAATCATTAGTACAGTGTTTACAGGCTTTCTACCCTGGAGACTATAATCTTCCTGGGCAAGGGAGTTGGGGGTTTGTCTCCTCTCCCGCATCTTGTATTTTTCCCTTGATTGCGCTCTGCCCACAGACTGCTCAATAAGGGGGCACTGGCAATGAGAGTGCGAAAACAGTAAGAGAAACACTTGGTCAACGAAATTAAGAATGGGCCAGGCATGGTGTCTTACACCTATAATCCCAGCAGTCTGGGAGGCTGAAGCAGGAGGATCGCTTCAGTATAGGAGTTCAAGACCAGCCTAGGTAACATGACAAGACTCCATCTCCACAAAAAAATACAAAAATTAGTCAGGTGCCTGTAGTCCCAGCTACTTGAGAGGATGAGGTGGGAGGATCACTTGAGCCTGGGAGGCGGAGGTTGCAGTGCACCAAGATGTTGTCACCACATTCCAGCCCAGGCAACAGAGCAAAATCCTGTCTCAAAAAAAAAAAAAAAAAATTAATAACGGCTTTTTAAAAAAATTTCAGATTTGGGGATACATGTGCATGTTTGTTGCATGGGTATTACACACATAATGGTGGGGATTGGGCTTCTAGCATACCTATCATTCAAATATTGAACACTTTACCTAATATGTAATTTTTCAACCCTCACCCCCACTCCTCCCCTCCCCACGTCCCCCTCCCCTACCTCTTTTTTGAGACATAGCCTCGCTCTGTCACCCAGGCTGGATGAAGTACAGTGGCACAATCTTGGCTCACTGCAACCTCCAGCTCCTGGGTTCAAGTAATTCTCCTGCCTCAGCCTCCCAAGTAGCTGGGACTACACGCATGTGCCACCATGCCCAGCTAATTTTTTTGCATTTTTAGTAGAGACAAGCTTTCGCCACATTGGCCAGGCCAGTCTCAAACTCCTGACCTCAGGTGATCCATCTGCCTCAGACTCCCAAAGTGCTGGGATTTATAGGCATGAGTCACTGTGCCTGGCTCCACGTTTTTTGGTTCCTAGTGTCTATTTTTTCCATCTTTATGTCCATGCATACCCATTGTTTAGCTCCCATTTATGAGAACATGTGATATTTGATTTTCTGCTTCTGAGTTCAGTTAGGATAATGGCCTCCAGCTCCACCCATGTTACTGCAAAAGACATGATTCCAAGGAATGACTTATTTTAAAGGCAACCCAGAGACCATCTAGAAAAGTCATTCTCAACACTTTCCCAAGGAGGAAGCTTGGGGTCTGAGGGACCAAGGGACTGGTCTAAGGACACTCAGTTGGCTCGTGGCAGGGCCAGGATGGACCTGAGTCTCAGCTACTAAATACACAATGACGTCATAATAAAAATTCCAACTTAGATTTCTAGGCAGTTGAAAGAAGGTGGTTTTACTAGACTGTGAATCAGCCAGTAAGTACAGAGTCCAAGAGTCCAGAGGATTATTTTCCATTTAATGCCAGCTGGGGAGTCAGAACTCAATGTTCTGAGTTGGGAGGTGACCCATAATGTGATAAGGATCCAGCATGTTGCTCTCAGGTCATCCTTGGGCAGCTTAACCACTAGTCTAAGTAATCTATAAACCCCCCTGTTTGGAGAAACAAGATGTTTTGATGGAGAAATACCAAGAAGTGTCATCTCAGGGCTAAGGAAGGAAGCTTGCATGCCTTTCAAAGGAACTGCCCAGTTATTAGCCTGAGTCAGCTGTAATGTCAAAGGCACCTCTTTCCAGACTGAAATCCTGGAGCCAGAGACTGGCACTGTCTTAGCAAGGATGATGGCCAAGGCCCCTGGAGCTGGGGGATAACATCTTGTCAGCCCCACAGAGTAATAGGAACAGCGCTGGAGTAGACACCACCTCAGACTCTACAACAGATGACCCAGGGAAAGGCAATGAAATGAAATAAAATGCTTCCTGGATCTGACACACAAGAAGCCTTGGCTCAGGCCTTCTTCCCCACAACCCCACCGACTTCAGATGGTCATTATACAGCCAGGTGAAGAAGGTCACAGAGACCTCCCCCTTTGTGATAAAGTCAGAAGAGACCCCAAAGCTTACTGGGATCTCTTTTGGCTTTATCATAAAGGGGCAGGTCCCACCAGGACCAGCTGATGCCTGCACTGGCCAGTATCTAGGCAGCAGGGGAGGAGAAACCTAGGTGTGGGATAGCTCCAAGCCAAGGACAGGTTTGGGACAAAAAGGGAACAGCCAACATACACCAAGTATATGCAGTGCTGTCTGTCACCTCTGAAGTCATTACCAAGGCGGGCTGTGGAGTCAGCCAGACCTGAGCGTGAGCTTCCCACTGTCACTCTTCACACTGTGTGGTAAGTTATTTAACCCCTCCCAGCCTCTGTTTTATCAGCTGGAAAATGAGACACCAGGACTATTTTATTTTATATTTATTTTATTTTATATGAAGTCTCACTTTGGCACCCAGGCTAGAGTTCAGTGGCGTGATCTCTGCTCACTGCAACCTCTGCCTCCCAGGTTCAAGTGATTCTCCTGCCTCAGCCTCCCAAGTAGGTTGGACTACAGGCATGCACCACCACGCCCAGCTAATTTTTGTATTTTTAATAGAGATGGGTTTCACCATGTTGGCCAGGCTGGTCTCGAACTCCTGACCTTAGGTGATCCACCCACCTCGGCCTCCCAAAGGGCTAGGATTACAGGTGTGAGACACTGTGCCTGGCCTCGAACTCCTGACCTCAGGTGATCCACCCACCTTGGCCTTCCAAAGTCCTGGGATTACAGGCGTGACCACCGTGCCTGGCCACTTTTTAGAGAGCAGGTGTATTAAAATGAGCTAGTGAGTATAAAGCATTTAGTTCAGTACTTGAAACATACTAATCTATTAGCACACGTTACTTAATTTTATTTTTATTCTTAACACACAGCTCACTCCCTGAGATCTCTAACAGAGCTGCATATGATTTATGTCTCCCCAAAATATGTGCACAGATGACCCAAATAGAAATTTAATTCTGGCTTTGGAAGGCACTCAGGTTTTGAGAAAAGAGCAGATTTTATTTCTTAAGGATGTTACCCTTGGGCTAACATTTGAATGCTTTGTATTTCCTGGGGGAATTGAAGTCAGAAGGCAGGGTCCTAAAAATGTACTCAGTGGCCGAAGCAGTCTGGTTGATGATTAAAACCTTATCCCTGGATGATCTGAGCTGAAAAGGCCATTTCAGCTGTAGACCATTTCAATGCCTCCACAGGTGTACAGAGATTTATGATAAAAGTCACTTGGATGGATATACCTCACCACAGTAGAATTTCTTCTCCAAAGCAAAGTAGAACTTGAAAGCTCAAGGTGCCATTGGGTGGGCTGGCTGCCTCTTGAATTCTCTCACCTAACCTTCACGAAGGACTTACCCCACAGGCAGGCATATGGGTGTCGTGTGTCCACATTAGACGTCCGTGGAACTCTCTAGAACATACCAGACTAACTTTATCTCCCCTGGGCAATCCCAGCTCACTACTGAGAATGCCTTACTTCTGGTTAGCAAGCAGCACATTCAAGCTTGCCAATCTTCCCCAATACCATTTGTATCTGTCTTTCAGCCAATGTGCACCAAAATCTTCCACAAAGTTTTACTTTGCGCCATTTAAAGATGTTTTACTGGCCAAGTGCGGTGGCTCACGCCTGTAATCCCAGCACTTTGGGAGGCTGAGGTGGGTGGATCACCTGAGGTCGGGAGTTCAAGACCAGCCTGACCAACATGGAGAAACCCTGTCTCTACTAAAAATACAAAATTAGCTGGGCATGGTGGCGCATGCCTGTAATCCCAGCTACTCGGGAGGCTGAGGTGGGAGAATCGCTTGAACCCAGGAGGCGGAGGTTGCAGTGAGCTGAGATCTCACCATTGCACTCCAGCCTGGGCAACAAGAGCAAAACTCCATCTCAAAAACAAACAAACAAACAAAAAAAGATGTTTTACTTTGGGTCAAGTCATTGCAAGGGAGAATGAACAGCTGCGTATTTCTTATTCCACAGAAGCCAAAGCTTCTTAAATGTTTATAGACAACTCATGAGAGTGTGCCATATTCAATTGAAGTTCAACAGGAAAAAGGAGAAATATTCACCAACCAATTGGAAAAAATAAAAACAGTGGTTTAAGCAAGAGAATAAGGATAGACTTTAAAGGTTACTTCTTTTCTGTCTCAAAGTAAATAAAAACCTATTAGAGACAATATTGCTTTATCCAGAAAGATGCCTGTGATGTATCATTGGGATGCACCCGGATGCAAAGCCAACAACTAAAAGTGGCTTAAACAGCCAGGGCGTTATTGTCTCCTGTAAGAAGAGCTGGGTAGGGTAGTTTCAGGGTTGGTTGGTTCTGTGACTCAACAGTGTCATCAAGGACCCAAGTTATGTCCTTTCTCCCACCTTGGCCTGCATCAAGATGTTGGGTTTTGCCTGATTTTCCCTGCAGTCATGAGATGGCAGCTGCCGCAGCTCTAGACATGATGTTCGCATATACCATTCAAGTCTCAAGACCCCAAACCAAGGGAAAAGAAACCCTTCCAGAGAAGCTCCACCTAGCATCCTTCCCTCAGGCCTTGATGGCTTGAACTGGGTCACATGCCTGTTCTGAAACCAATCACTCTCAATGGGACTAGAATCGTGACAGCCTTCAGGACAGTCGGGACTCACCTCTGGGTCAGCAGAGAAAGCCCAAACTCATACCCCCATTGCTTCTGACACCGAAAGAGCCACAGTTTTGTTAGCAACAATGAAGGAAGGGCAGAGGATTTCTGAATATCCCTCTGGGAAATAACCTGACAGTATTGGCAGGGGTTCACAGCCCTTCAGGGCTTCTAACGATCTAAGCTACATATCTGGCCAGAAAGGCACGCAAAACCCATCCAGATAAGGTAGGTCTGACGTCAAATACCTTTTCATCATGAAACACATGATCTGGTTAATAACTAGATGCAATACACAGACCTTGTTTAGAATCTGATTCAAACTAATTTATATTTTTGAGGCAAGCAGGAAAATTTGGGTATAGACTAAGTACTAGGTTGTATTAAGAGATTGTTAATCGCACTTTGGGAGGTTGAGGAGGGTGGATCACTTGAGGTCAGGAGTTCGAGACCAGTCTGGCCAAGATGGTGAAACCCCACGTCTAATAAAATACAAAAATTAGCTGGGCATGGTGGCATGCACCTGTAATCCCAGCTACTAGGAAGGCTGAGGCAGGACAATCACTTGAACCTGGGTGGTGGAAGTTGCAGTGAACTGAGATTGCACCACTGCACTCCAGCCTAGGTGACACAGTGAGACTCCATCTCAAATAAATAAATAAATAAATATATAAATAAAATAATAAGAGAAAAAGAATAAATTATTAATCATGACAATGGCATTGTGAGAATTAAATGCAAGAAACTACATTAGGATGTAAGGAAACGCTTTTTTCTCTCTGTCACCCAGGCTCTAATGCAGTGGTGCAATCTTGGCTCACAGCATCCTCTGCTTCCTGGGCTCAAGTGATCCTCCAACTTCAGCCCCCCACCCTCCCAGTAGCTGGGACCAGAGGTGCGTACCACCCACCCAGCTAATTTTTGTATTTTTTTGTAGAGATGGGGTTTTACCATGTTGCCTAGGTGGGAACAAATGCTTGCTTGCTTATTTATTTATTTATGAGATTGAGTCTCGCTCTATCGCCCAGGCTGGAGTGCAGTGGCACGATCTCGGCTCACTGCAACCTCTGCCTCCTGGGTTCAAGCAATTCTTGTACCTTAGCTCGAGTAGCTGGGATTACAGGCACCTGCCACCATGCCCGGCTAATTTTTGTATTTTTAGTAGAGACGGGGTTTCACCATGTTGGCCAGGCTGGTCTCGAACTCCTGACCTCAAGTGATCCGCCTGCCTCAGCCTCCCAAAGTGCTGGAATTACAGGCGTGAGTCACTGCGCCTGGCCGCAAATGCTTATTTTTTAAGGGATACATACTGAAGTATTTAGGGATAAAATGTCATGATGTCTGGGATTTGCTTTAACCAAGTACAGCCAAAAAAGGGAGGTGCAGATAGCAAGAGTCAAAACAGAGCTAACAGTTCAATCTATGTGATGGATATACAGAGGTTATTACGTAAGCCTGTATACTTTTTTAATGTTTTTAAATTTTTATAATGAAAGCATTTAGCAACTAGGGCATGGTGTCTCTGGCCTGCCTTCTGTAAGTTCACTATGCCTTAAGGCTGTTTCTCCTTGAGTCTTTCACATTTTTTCTTCTCTCTCCAAGATCTTTGCACTATCGGCTCGTTCTCTGTTCAAATGTCACCCTGTCACAGGGGTTTCCTCCCCCTTCATAGTCCTTCTGTCTCGTATTAGCCTAATTTTTGTTGTTCTTCAATACAGTTATCACTATGTGAAGTCATCCTACTTGTTTATTTACTAATTATTGTCTATTTCTTCCATGTAGAACAATCTCCATGAGAAGAGTGACCTAGTATAGCTTGCACAATCTTTCTCCAGGGCCAAATTAGCACCAGGTGTATGGAGGGCACTCAAATATTTGAATGAATAAACTGAACTTTCTTTCTTTTGAAAAGCCCTTACCAACACAAAGCAAAACAAATGACTAAGCTAATGAGCACTTTACATCAACGTAAATTCCCTCTTTTTTTTTTTTTTTTTTTTTTTTTGAGATGGAGTGTCACTCTGTTGCCCAGGCTGGAGTGCCATGGTATGATCTTGGTTCACTGCAATCTCTGCCTCCTGGTTTCAAACAATGCTGCATCAGCCTCCTAAGTAGCTGGGATTACAGGTGCCTGCCACCATACCCAGTTAGTTTTTGTATTTTTAGTAGAGACGGGGTTTCACCATGTTGGCCAGGCTGGTCTTGAACTCCTGACCTCAAGTGATCTGCCTGCCTCAGCCTCCCAAAGTGCTGGGATTACAGGCATGAGCCACCATGCCCAGCTACTTTACATAAATTCTTAGTTAGTCCTCACAACAGTCCTATGAGGACAGATATTATTGTGCTATAATTAAAATCCCAGGCTTACTTTAACCCTCACACTAGTGGTAAATATCTGCCAGACAAGTTTCCAGCCCCTATTCCTGGGCCCATGATAGGCATCATCAATGGATTTCTGAATTCTTTCTTCTGAGCCTGAATTCACCACAGTGCTCCAGACAGTGATGATTGATCAGGCTTGGTCCATGAGGTGATATCTACTTGTCATTCCCACAGTAAGTCATGCTGTTAAAAAAACAGGTGCCAGTTAGACTGAGCTACCCCTCCAACACTTCTTCCTAGGGTCCACTCCTGCCTCTTCAGGAAATGCAAAACCCAAGCCTACAAATAAACCTCAGCATTGGTCAGTAATGCTGCCAGACCACTGGATCAGCCTCCAGGAGGTTATTAAATAGCACAGCCCAGCTGCCAAAGCCTTCTGAGGCTTGGCATGCAAGTAGAGGCTCCCCTTTGGGGACCGCTGGCTGTCCCTGTTCAGTTACAGATCAGAATTTCCAGCTCTGCTACTTTTTAGCTTCCCCTACCTTTCTGCCAAGAAAGCACAAAGACGCACAAAGACACCAAAGCAGGAGTCAGAGGCCTATGTCCCGGCAGGCTCAGCCTCTACTGGAGTGCCCGTGGCAGACTGTATCACCTCCCTCCACCTCAGAGTCCACATCTGAAAAGTGCACTGATTCGGTCACAGTTAGAGTGCTTTCCAGTTCTTTTTTTGGTTTGTTCTTTTTTGTTGTTGAGGTTGCCTGGGCTGGTCTCAAACTCCTGGCTTCAAGTAATCCTCTTGCCTTGGCCCCCTCAAAGTGCTGGGATTACAGGTATGAGCCACCATACCTGGACACTTCCCAGTTTTAACTTCAGATTCAAAGTCAAAGTTCTCAGAGCTCTGATATTATGTGCATAATCCCTGACACAAAGAAGATATCCTATGAATATTTACAGGAGGATAGGAAAAATAACTAGTTTGGGAAAAAAGAGCCTCTTTAGTGGTCCATCAGTGGCCACTATCAGAGGAAGGTCTGAATGTGGTGGAGAATAAATGCTCTCCAAGACAGAACCAGTGCTATACCTTCCAGTATGTGTTCTTTCCCCATGGAGGTTCTGTGATAATGCAGGATTAAAAATCAGTGGGCCCAAAGTTCTGCTATCTGCTGCCGACGTGACCTTAGGCAAGTTAAGCTCTCCGTTCCCTAGTTTCCTCACTTATAAGGTGCAGATAATCATAGCACCAACATCATAGCATTATTGAAATAGCAATATACTACCTGTAAGAACCTAGAAAAGTGCATGGCACATAGTAAGTGCTTAATGAAGTTAGCTATTACTATTACTACTCTTACTACTGTATTGATCTATAGATTATCCAGCCCAGGAGAGGGGATTCTGCTGCCTGGTCAAATGCTGGATAGGCCGGGTGCAGTGACTCACGCCTGCAATCCCAGCACTTTGGGAGATTGAGGCAGGCAGATCACTTGAGGCCAGGAGTTCGAGACCAGCCTGGCCAAAACAGCAAAACCTCATCTCTACTGCAAATACAAAAATTAGCCAGGTGTGGTGGCACATGCCCGTAATCCCAGCTACTTGGAAGGCTGAGGCAGGAGAGTCACTTGAACTCGGGAGGTGGAGGTTGCAGTAAGCTGAGATTGCAACACTGCACTCCAGCCTGGGCGACAGAGTGAGACAGTCTCAAAAAATAAAATAAAATAAAATAAAATAAAATAAAATAAAATAAAATAAAATAAAATAAAATAAAATAAAGAAAAAGCTGGATAAATGTTTACTAAATGAATGAATGAGTGAGGTAAAACCAACTCTTAATTCCTTCCAGGTCTTTCTTCTCTCTCTGTACTCTAATAGGCTAGCAGTCTCCTACAATGTTAGATTTTATACAAAGGGTAAAGGGATAGTGGTGAGCTTTCTATACATTCCACTTAAACATCTAGGAAAATACCGATTCTAAGTTGACAATGGAAAATTAAGTATGTAGTTTTTAATCCTTAGACCACCCACCAAAAAAACCACAGAGATATAGTCAAAACACATAATAGATACATTAAAACAGAATACTGAAAAATGTTCTAGCCAGGTACAGTGGCTCACATTTGTAATCCCAACACTTTGGGGGGCCAAGGCAGTTGGATCACTTGAGGCCAAGAGTTCAAGACCAGCCTGCCCAACGTGGTGAGACCCCCATCTCTACTAAAAATATTAATACAAAAATTAGTTAGGTGTGGTGGCACATGCCTGTAGTCCCAGCTACCTGGGAGGCTGATGTATGAAAATCACTTGAATCTGGGAGGCAGAGGTTGCAGTGAGCCGAGATCATGCTACTGCATTCCAGCCTGGGTGTCAGAGGGAGACCCTGTCTCAAAAAAAAAAAAAAAAGTTTAAATAATCTAAAGGCAGGAAAGGAGAAAGGGAGTAGCCAAAAACAGAACAAACAGAAACAAATAATAAAATAACAGAAACTAGATCCAAATACATAAACAATTAGATTAAATGTAAATGTTCTAAACATATCAGTTAGGGCTGGGTGCGTTGTCTCATGCCTATAATCCCAGCACTTTGGGAGGCTGAGGCAGGCAGATCATTTGAGGTCAGGAGTTCAAGATCAGCCTAGGCAACATGGTGAAAGCCTGTCTCTACTAAAAATGCAAAAATTATTTTGTATTTGGGCGTGGTGGTGGGTTCCTGTAATCCCAGCTACCCAGGAGGCTGACAGGAGAATCGCTTAAACCCGGGAGGTGGAGGTTGCAGTGAGCCAAGATTGCGCCACTACACTATAGCCTGGGCAACAGAGCGAGACTCCGTCTCAAAAATAAAATAAGAAAAAAACATACCAGTTAGGAGATAATGGATTATGAGAACAGATAAACAACAAAACATGACTATTTGCTGTATACAAGAAACTCACTTGGAATACGATATAGGCTAGTTAAAATTAAATGTATGGAAAAACATTACGCAAACGTATCAAAAGAAAGCTGGAGTGGCTCTAATATCAGATAAAGTAGACTTCACAGCAAAGAAGATTACTAAGGATAAAGAGGGACATTGCAATCCTAGTTTTTATATAAAGCATCAAAGAAGATGATATTTCTAGGGGAAAGGAGTGGGAGCAATTCAGGAAGATCCTCTGTGTCCCACCCTAGGAATCCACCCCCCTAGCCACTTGAGGGCCCAGTAGCAGGGGAAACGTGGCCTGGCTCTCACTCTCAGGCCTCAGGCACATTTGGTTATCTTCACTCACCCCAGTTCCTTTCCACTCTCAATTAGCTTTTGAAGGAAAGCAACCCCAAAAGTGACAGGAGTCAGGGACCTTGTTGGAAAAAGTCATCCTCAGCCCAGGATTACATACTCCTTCCTTGGGGGTAAAATGTCAACTCTATAGCATCATCCTATAAGTGGGACTCTATATGCATGTTGTTAAGGATTTAAAATAAAATTCCCGTATTTCCACTCTTCCCCCTCTCCCAGATACGTTTCTCCCAAGAGAAACTTACAGAGAAAAAAACTTTAGAAACCAAATGATCCTGCCTGGGAGAAAGAGTTCTGGATTATGTTTTCTGCTGCTATGACCTTGGCAGAATCTGGTTTAAACAATCCCCCGGCAGCTGCGTGTACATGGTTAGAATGCACTTTGTCTGCTGTCTCACTCCCAGACCCAACTCCTCGCTGGCTGTTTAACATTTCCAACCCTCATTCTGCCTGTACTCTGAAATGTGTCATCTAGCACAGTGTGTGAAAATATTGAGATTAAGGTGGCCTCATCAGCCCTAAGCAACTCTGACTCTGTCCAACTCCAGAATAAAGATTTGGTTTGTGCTTGGACTGGTCCTGCTGTCCAGGCTGGATTGGCAGTCAAAGTCAGACAGATGGAGAGATCACGTGGGTCAGACAGGTTGGAAGGAGGCCCACTCAGTATCCCCCCTTCTGGAAAGACACTGGCTTCAGCATTCAGGCAATCTTCCTTCTTCCCAGGCTTCCAGTTTCAAGAGTGATGAAATCTGTTATCAAGGGAGTACTTGCTTTTTTGACTGTGAGAAATCCTGCAATGACAGTCTCTATCCACAGCATCGGAGTGAGGGACGCAGGCTTTGCAGCTGGAGGGAGCCTGGTGTGAGGCTGGCTTTGATGCTCACTTGCTTGGTGACTTGGGGCAGGCTGCCTAACCTCCCCAAGCCTCTGCTGCTTCCTCTGAAAATTGAGGAGAACAGTATCTGCCCTTCTACTGGTGTGATGAGGATTAAATGAGACAACGTATGCAAAATTCTTAGCACTGTACCTGAGCTAGTAACTGCTGAATAAACAGTTTCTGTTATTACTGCAACAGGATCATTCATTCCTCCAGAGCAGAAACCACCTTTTTGTTCTCCATGATGCCTCTAGAGATGCCGGCCACCGGGCAGGCATTCAAGGAACCCTTATTGGCTCTCAACATTCACACTATCTGGATCTAGTTAGTTGTAGGTACTTCAAAAGGAACATTTTATAACACCCCTCCTTGTCTGGTTTAGTTCTGAAATGGAAAGCAAATTGGCCACTTAGCCATCCAGAATCCTGAAAACACGTGGCCTCTCATATGGTCACACCTTCTATTTGCATCTACAGCTGATTAAAAGCAAAAATCTACGAGATGAACTTTTCAATAATAATTGTCAACACTCAGTTTAGACCAAACAGTTGAACTAAAACTTCAAGTATGTCAAGGTAGCACTGGGTCAGAGATAGACTAGAAGAGAAGTAACATTTAAATTCATCTGGCACAATTTAAGATCCCATTAAGACAGAAATAAACCCAGCCTGCAAGCTATTCAGCACCTAAATGGCTCACTCCTTCAAACCTGTAATCTGAATATTTAAGACACCCTCTAAAGAAGTGCTTCTCTTTCAGAGAGGAAAGGTTTCATTAGAACAAATAAACACTGAAGTCAGTGAATATAACAAATAATTGCTCTAACAGCAGCAACCAAAAGATACTCTCATTAATGGTCTGTTGAAACTCTTCAAATAAAGTTACCCTTGCCCTACTTAATGTGGTGATGTGTTTCTCTAGAAGACTGGTTTTTCCACTCCACTTCCTTCCAGATCCATCTTCCATCCCACTTCCCACTCCACCCCCCTGCCCAGATCACCCAGCATCTTCTCTCCACAGCATCCAATCTTCCTCTTCTATCCACAGCTGACCTACAGTTCTCAGGCCATGAGGGCTCCCAACCTTCCCTCTCAGCATGGGGTGGAGCATGTGGTTATGGACTACAATGACTGGTTCAATGATGGGGCACATGACCTAGGCCAGGCCCATCAGAGCCAACGAGACTCAAGTCCAGAATCTTTGAGCTATCACAAGAAGCCAACTGGTCCCCTTTCCTACTCAGCTTCAAAGCTGAGGCTGCTGCAGCTAGTTTGCAACCACAGGAGAAAGGCTGCCAGATAATGGAGCCAACCCAGGAGCAGAATCCAGAAGCAAGAGTAAGCAAAAGAAACAGGGTCCCAAAGGTACCAGTGAACCTCTGAGTCAAAGTGTACCTGAAGCCAATCCTACTTTGGGACTTTTAAACAAGCCAGTAAATTCAACTGTGTCTGTAGCCTGCAGAGTCCTGACACTGAAATGGTAAACAGAAGTGTACTTAGAAGCTACTTTATGGTTTCTTAGCTTTAAATTACTTAGGAAATGAGAATGATGCACTGGATTCCCAGAACTCCGTCCCATCTCTGTGCCCAAGTATGAGTCCAGGACTGGCTATTTCTGACCAAGTGGTTGCTGGCTGGGAAGTGCCAGGGACTTCACTTGGGGAATACTGCTTAGATAAACAGGTCTTGGGTAACGACAAAGCACTGATCTCAGGACTCCTGACTTCTGGTCCCTGCTGGGTCACTCCTTGGCCATGGGACCTCAAGTAAACCCTTCTGCACTTCATTTTCTTCTAAAGGAAAACAAAGCCCTCTGCCTCTAACACAGGGAGAATAGGAGCCAGTACTGCCTGGTATTTTGGGCTTTGAGTTGGGTAGATCTAGGTTCAAATCCCTAGTCTACCCTAGATCCAAGATTAGGATTTGGGTCAAGAGGCCCAATCTCTCTGACCCTCAGTTTCCTTCTTTGTAAAATGGGAACAAATCAGAGTATTGTTGCACAGAGTTATTTTAAGAATTAAATAAGGTAAAGTTTATAAAGTGTTTAGTAAGGTGTCTGATATATAGAAAGACACAATAAATGGTAGCTATAATAGCTGTGAGATCAAATGAGAAAGAATGTGAAAGTGCTTTGTAAAAACCATGAGAAACTGTACCTGTATTAGGGATTATTGTCATCACCTCTCATTCCTAAAATGGCCATGGTTATAACATCATAGTGTGGGGTAAAGGCAATAAACTTATGAAATAAATTCAATTGATAAATTATACCCAATCCAGCAGAGAGATAGTTGTCAATGAGGCATAGGGGTGCAAACCCCATGCTATAACTGTCATTTCATCAACAGTTTAGCACACTCCCAAGAAATATGTTAGGGTGGTTCATGGAAAATGCTATCAATAGTGACCTGTTAAATGTTCCTCTGGAGGCCTGGAACTGTTCCCAAGCTATGTGCATGCAGTCAGATCCCTTTGGAACTTTTCCAGAGCTACATCTGCAAAAGTACAGGTAAGATCCCCTTCCTGATTCT
The DNA here is from genome assembly GCF_000001405.40 of Homo sapiens. Classification (NCBI taxonomy): domain Eukaryota; kingdom Metazoa; phylum Chordata; class Mammalia; order Primates; family Hominidae; genus Homo; species Homo sapiens. The sequence goes on from NC_000011.10 coordinate 34,330,926, forward strand.
CCAACTTCTTTTAACAACTTCATGGGCAGGATGCAAATCTGCCTCTTTATGAATGAGAAATTTCAGTTGCTGAGCTTGGCAGCAGAGATTTCCAAGAAATCCAGCCTTCCAGTGGACCCCCTCCTATGTTCCACCAGCACATCCCATAAAACGAGGGAGTTCTGGGTTTCAAATGGGCTGCTTGCAGGAAAGAGACAGCTGTGGTAAAACCAAAAAGATATTCCTTCCACGTGTTGAAGAATAAAGTCCTCCTGATTGAAGGGACTTTGGCTTCTTTTTAGTTTGGAGGCATTTTAAAAAGCATACATGACAAGCCTAAGAAGTGCTTACCACAAGCATATAAAGGGTCACTTCAACTCATGTAAGTATTGCTTAACGCGGAAAAAATTAAAGCTTGAAAAATCAGGACCATAAAACGCAAGGAGTAAGGAGTTGTGGAAAAACAACCCCATCTGAGGTTGCAATACTCCTTCAGGAAAATAGATACACTGTTCTCTTACTCTCTTTTCTAACTGTAGCCTATATACCAGCCATGTGTATTTTGGACTCCTTCCCATCCTACCATGATTTCCTGTCTAAGTCTGGGTCCCATGGTAACTGGAGCAATTTGGCATGCTGGCCCCAAACACCATGACTGGCCACGTGAGGGATGCCAAGTGGGTATCTCTTCCATAACAAACATCTCTCTCTTCTGGCTCTGTAATGAGGTTACTCTCTTACTCATAAACTCTTACTAATAAAGTCTTCAGTTGATAAATGAATCTTCCCATCCAGCCTCTTTCACTCACCCAGAAGAAGTGATAATCTTTTGCAGAGCCAGAAGATCTATGTATTCAAGTTTACATTGCACGGGGTAGAAGGGTTGCAAGACTGCGGGAAAAAGAAAAATTAAAAACCCCAGCTTTGCTGCTAGCAAAAGTGTTAAGTAGTTCAGTAAAAGCCAAACCTCATTTATGGAGTGAGCAGAAGTTATCCTTGGAAATGTATTTCCTGGTGAGAGTCCCAAGGATATGGTGACATGAGTCACAGGTTTTACAAGCCTGAGGGCTAACTTCTATTTATCTTTCAGATCTCAACACAAATGACCACCTCTGGGACTATGACAACTCCATGCCCCCAATCTGATTTTGTAGCCATGGTCTTCCCAGTATAGTATGCAATAGCCTGTATTACAACTGCCTGTTTGATTCTTGCTTTCGGACCCAGAGCTCCTGAAGGGCAGGACTGTAACTTTTCGCCTCTATTCTGATGCAGCACTTAACGTAAAGGAGGCATCTGTAAATGCATGTGATGTGGCTGTAGGCAGACCTAGCTCTAGATCACATCACAAATTTGGAGCATTCACCCTCTAACCTGTCCCAGCCTCCTGCATCTTCACTGCCACCTACCCACTGCACAGTTCTCCCTTCTCCTCCATGAAGACCTACCTTAAGGAAAGGCTACGCTAGTAATCATTCAGACTAAGGTCAAATGGAATCCTACACGCAAAATTATTCCCTCCGAAAATGTAACCCCCACACTCACACTCAGGGTATTATGCACCCATCCACCCTTGACCTAAGGGAATTAAATTATAATTGGATAATTTTAGCCAATCACAGGGGTAGATATTTTGGTTGGGTTTTTTGAGGAGGAGCTAGAAAAACTGGCTCCTCCAGCTGCTTTTGAAAGCACACAGTGACCCACTCCTGGCCCTCAGCAAACCCAGCATCCAGGGACCACCCCCCGAGCCCAGGGGAGTTGGTCCAGCCTAGCCCGCTGTCCAGCAATGCCTCTGTTGATTTTGCTAATAGAGCAAACAGACCCTCTTTGAAAAAGAGGCAAAGGCAGGAGAACTCTGCTTTCCTGCCCATTTCCTCTGCCTTATTAAGCAAGAAGAACTGGTTTCAGTTAAAAAAAAAAAAAAATCCTGAAAGCCACTGATGGAACAGTCTCTGAAGTGCGTTCAGGGAGTCACAGGACATGGAAGGAAATGGAGGGCACAGGAACATGAATTATGGTGAGCACTGGGGAAATGCCTGCTTCGTCTGGGTGAGAAACAGGCAAAGACTTTGAGGTCAACAATGGCCATTCATAAACAAACAGCTTTAACTTATTAAGCATCAAGGGTTTTACAAATATTTCTCGAATGATTTTACATGTGTTGTCTCAGTTGATTCTCCTAATCCAACCCTATAGCACAAGTACTATCACTTTAAAAAATAAACTGAGGCTCAGAAAGGTTTAATAATTTACCTACCCCCAGAAGTTCAAGAACAGGTAAAAGTAATTGAAGGTGGCAGGAGTCAGAATAATAGTTATGTGGGGTAGACACTAACAAGGAATGGCCATGAGGGTGTCTCCTAGGCAGGAGTGTTTTAAATCTTGATCTTGACCTGGGTAAGTTACATAGCGGCATGTCTGGGTAAAAATTCATCAAGCTGTGCATTTAAGACTCTGGTCTTTATGCATCCCAATCTATACTAAAGGAGAAACAAAACAAAACAAATAAATAAGAAAAACAAACAAACAAACAAAATTCCCAAAAACTAAAAATAAAGGAAAAACAGGCTGGGTATGGTGGCTCAAGCCTGTAATTCCAGCACTTTGGGAGGCCAAGGTGGGCAGATCACTTGAGGTTAAGAGTTCAAGACCAGCCTGGCCAACATGGCAAAACCCTGTCTCTACTTAAAATAAACAAATTAGCTGGGCATCGTGGTGCTCACCTGTAATCCCAGCTACTCGGGAGGCTGAGGCAGGAAAATTGCTTGAACCCGGGAGGCAGAGGTTGCAGTGAGCTGAGATTGTGTCACTGCACTCCAGCCTGGATGACAAGAGTGAGACTGTCTCAAAAAATAAAATATAATAAAATAAAGGAAAAACAGGTAATGCCTCCAGCTCAAATCACACAGTGAAGATCCCAAAATTGAACCCAGGTCTCCCTAATTCCAAAACCTATGTTCTTGTCTCCTTTACTCTGTCAAATTCAAGATTCAGAGGCAGGACATGAGGATACGTTATACCCAGATGCTGGGATCTGCAAGCACATGACTGATGTGTCTCAAACATCTTGGTGCTTCCCCTTTCCACTAAGGGAAGGGAGCCACAGGTGAAAAAAAAAAAAAAAAGCCACAGGCAAAAGTCATGATGCTGAGTGGTGACGATGGAAACAGAAAGGTCTAAAATCACACCAAGGCAAACACTATCAGATCCAACCCAAACGTTTCCTTCTCTTGGAAGGAAAATCTCCTGGCTAACATGAATGCTCCTAAGGTGACTCTAATGAAAGCCTTTACATCTGGCACAGCAAGGACAAAAACAACCCTGTCTTTGTTCAACTGTTTTAGACACATACGGGAGCTCATGCCTAAGACCTGCCCCAACCTAAGAATCCAGGCAACTTAAATATCCCTACTGTTCTGTGTTCTCCATGTGAAAGCCACTGTGGCTGGAAGAGAAAACTCACTTCTCAGAGCATTTTGCACAGATGAGAGGCAATCAGAAAGGGTATGAATGGTGGCCTGTGGCATGGTTCAGGTGGTTCATGGGATAATAAATAGCTACCACCTATTGAGAACCCACTAATTTTTTAACCTCAGGTGCACAAATTGGATTTATCATAATCCTTGGTTCATGACCATTTTTAATTAGCTATAATGTGAACTCAACTCCCAAACAAAAGCTAGAGCCTTGGCAACCATCTACATGCATCTAAACCATATGACCCTCCCTCCCCTAATCCTTCCCTTTCCCTCTTCCCATGAGGCATAACCATCAACCGTGTTTCCCATCCCCTCACTTTCTCTCTTACATGGTATTTACTGTGCCTGTAATGTACTCCTTCAGCACATCTTAATATTTGGGTTTTTTTTTTTTTTCGTAACCAAATGTGTGATTTATTTTTGGAAGAAAGTAATTAAAACTGAGGCCTTTTTCCAATAAAGGGGAGAAATAACAATAACAGATAATACCCTAGTTACAAGCTAATTACCACAACCTATACAATGTGGGTGTGCTCAACATGTATTCAATGATATGAATAATGAACATTTGCAATTTTAAAATCCCATATCACTTACCAATGTTGTAAATTCATAAATGCTGAAATAAATAGAAATAAGTATATTTTAAAAACTTTAGTCTGACAGTGTTTATAGATCAACCCAAATATTACATACAAATAATACAGCAAATGAATGGACATTTCCGCTAATTTCCACTTAATTTCTTCATAATATGGCTGTCTGGTGTTGCATTAGTGAAGATGCTTCCTACAACTACACGGGTACCCCAGAGACTATGACGAATCACTTTAAGCATCGAAGGTCATCAACAGAGAATCCTAAATGTCGGTAGCATTCATCAGTTTCAAAAAGATTGTTGTTTGTATATGGTCCAAAAAAATGCCAAACCAGATGATGGGTCAGTAAAGTCAGCCCAATATCCCTCAGCACAAAGAGTACAGCAAATTTCCTTAGCAACATTGATGAACTTTTCTAAGAGCACTTCTCTTTCAGTTTCTACTTCTTCACTCTAAACAGTCATATTATTCTTAGTTTTCTGTGTTACAGTCAGAATGATTAATTTGCTATTAGCTACTTCTGGAAACAGTGATTCAAAATCTTTTCGCCACAATTCTGGACACGTTTGTATTGCACACTCCACTCTGGCACTTTCAAAGTTAAGTTTCTGCACTGTTAATTTCTTGTTCAACAGGTGCATCATTACCCTGAAATTCATTCACATATTGTGTCATCACAAACTTGTGTCTTTCACTTGATAAAGTTTCTGCTAGAACATCAGGCAAAGTTTTATAAAGCAGGCTTTTCTTCTGTGAAGCAGTCCCATTGAGGTGACAATCAAAACCTATGATCCCAGGAAGCTTGAACCTCTGATCTTGAGGTCCAAACGGTCCCATAGTTTCATCAGGCCACACCTTTTGAGAGCATATATCTGGAGGTAGAGCGGCCACATGAGACACCTAAACCTGACAATCCTGCGGTTGAAAAGGCTTTGGGATTGCCAACGTTTTAACTAAAGAGTAAAATCCTGGGAGATAGGAAAACAGTCTGGCTCTGTTACAAAGCACATTGGCCAACTCTACTGGAGGGGACAGTTCACTAAATAGCTTTCCTTTGGTAAAGTTATTCCAGTCACCACCACTGTCTCCAGCTGTCCCAGAACCTGACGTTCCTGCCATCCAATATTTGTTTTTAATTTCTCTACATTGTATTGTGCTGTAATATAATCTTTTGAGCTTATTTTTTTCACTTACTACTAAAGCTTATTCAACTAATTTTTCCTCCTATTCATTCAATGTCAGCTGAGCCCATGCACCTTCTGAGAAGCATTGTTTACACTTTTGCATTTCACATTTACAACACCATAAGGCAGGTACTACTATCATTCCAAGTTTATAGATTAAAAAACAAATAGGTTGAGGTACTTGCCTAGCACCACATTAAAAAAGCAGCCAGGCCAGGCACAGCATTCTGGGAGGCTGAGGCAGGAGGATTGCTTGAGGCCACAAGTTTGAGACTAGCCTGGCCAACATAGTGAGATCTTATCTCTATAAAAAATTTTAAAAAATTATCTGGGTGTGGTGACTTGTGCCTGTAGTCCCAGCTGTTTGGAAGGATCAGGTGGAAAGATCACTTGAGCCCAGGAGTTTGAGGTTGTCATGAGCCATGATCGTACCACTACACTCCAGCCTAGGTGACAGAGGGAGGCCCTGTCTCAAAAAAAAACAAAACAAACAAACAAACAAAAAAAAGCAGCTTACCTGCAGTTAGACCCGGGTTTGTTTCCAAAGCCCTTATTTCCCTACTGTAAGACTCAGGGTTAATGCTTGCATATGGGTGGGCTCCCTCCCCATGCCAAAGGAAGGGTGGCCAAAGATAACCCCCAAACTGGTAATCATCATCACCATCATCATGACTAACATACGGGAGACTCACACACCAGGTCCTGTTCCAAGCATTTTACGAGGTGTAGTTCATTTAATCTTGTCCACAACTATCATATGAGGGAAACAGGATTATCCCTATCTTACAGACAAGTAAACTGAGGCACCGAGATATGAAGTAATTTGTCCAAGAAGAAGTGGAGCCAAGATTTGAATGCAGGCAGTCCAGCTTCATACCCACACCGTCAATCACAAGGCCCTACTGCTTCTCAGTTTACTGAGGAGGACAACCACCTGAGTGCAAGTGAGTGGATTCGGATGAGTGCTGGCTAAGAGGAGGCCTGTGCTGGGCTTGCACCTGGGTGGAAACTGCAGCACTTCCGGAACCTGGCTTATTTGTTGAGGAAGGCCCCGATTCTGCGCCTGTCTGGGGAGAAGAGTTGCATGCAGGGGCTGTGTAGGGAAGGAGGCAGGGGTTGAGGAGGAGGAACAGCAGACCACAACACAGACAGCCTTAGGACGGGCACAGCTGACTGGCTGCTGGTCTCAGCCTAGGGAAATAACAAGGTTCTCAAAGCCAGGACTGGAAAGGCCAAAGGGCCGTACCTTGAGGAAAGATGGCACAAGCAGCTTTCTCAAAAAATTCTGACACTGTACTTATAATGCAGGATTCTTATTTGACCCAATAGCCTAATGCTTTTGATTAAAACTTTCAGCATGGAAAACGTGGGCTTTGAAGTCTGACAGTACTAATCTCAAACGCTGGCTCTGCTACTTGTGTGTATGGGTGACCTCGAGCAAGTCATTTCAACTATCTCAAGGCCTCAGTTTCCTCATTTGTAAAATGAGGATAAATAATGTGACCTACAGCTCACAGGCTGTAGTGAGGATTCCACAAGATACTGCATGCAAATCACTAGTGTCCTGCTCACCTCATAGTAGGCATTCGGCAAATAACAACCTATATTTTTATCACCACCGACTCATCACATTTGGTTGGAAAAATTAAACGAGATAGCATCCAATAAACATTGGTTATCTTTCTAACACCTCTCCCCACCTCCCCCTACTCAAATCACCCTAACCATGATCTCCATCTTACCACCCACAGAGAAGACCCTCAAAGACTGGCCTTTCCCAAACTGTACATCCTCAAGAGGGTCCTTTGCCCCATACATACTGTGAGAGGAGCGCAGAATAAAATCCACCCCCAGTGATGTAGATGGAATTCACAAACCTGCCCGTTTATCTAGAATCGCCGCAAGAGTTGCTTTAAAAATACAGATGTCGGCCAGGCACAGTGGCTCACACCTGTAATTCCAGCACTTTGGGAGGCCAAGGAGGGTGGATCACCTGAGATCAGGAGTTCAAGACCAGCCTGGCCAACATGGTGAAACCCTGTCTCCATGAAAAGTACAGAAATTAGCTGGGTGTGGTGGCGCATGCCTGTAATCCCAGCTACTTAGGAGGCTGAGGGAGGAGAATTGCTTGAACTCAGGAGATGGAGGTTGCAATGAGCTGAGACTGCACCACTGCACTCCAGTCTGGGTGACAGAGTGAGACCACTTCTCAAAAAAGAAAAGAAAAAAAAAATACAGATGTTCTGGTCGGGAATGGCGGCTCACACCTGTAATCCTGGCACTTTGGGAGGTCGAGGTGGGTAGATCACTTGAGGTTAAGAGTTTGAGACCAGCCTGGCCAACATGGTGAAACCCCATCTCTACTAAAAGTACAAAAAAAAAAAAAATTAGCCGGGCGTGGTGGGGTGCACCTGCAGTCCCAGCTACTTGGGAGGCTGAGGTGGCAGAATCACTTGAACCGGGGCAAGGCTTGCAGTGAGCTGAGATCACACCACTATACTCCAGCCTGGATGACAGAGGGAGACTTCCTCTCAAAACAAAACAAAAAAACAGATGTCTTAGCCCCACTTTTACAGGTTTTCACTTAATAGATTCAGGGTGGGTTCCAGAATACTAATGTTATTTTCAAAACTTATTTATTACTATTACTTTTATATAGAGACAGGGTCTCATCAGCCTTGGAGGAAAAAAGCAGAACCTAAGCCTAGGAATATCAACAGTAGCAACAGTGGCAGTGATGGTAGCAAGAGCACTCCCTAAAGCCCCTTCCATCGTCTTGAAATCAGCAACAGTATCTACCTCTGCAGGATACTGTGTGGCTCAAAGGAGAAAATGCAGGTAAAACATTGTAACACATCTAAGTTCTTACTGTGTGCCAAGCCTTATGTTAACTGTTTTATATACATTTTGCTATTTTGTTTAGTCACATCATCCCTGGGAGGTATTTTTTAAAACACCATTTCTCGTCATCTTGACCAGGCTGGTCTCCAACGCCTGGCCACAAGTGATCCTCCCACCTAGGCCTCCCAAAGTGCTAGGATTACAGGTGTGAGAACCTGCACCCAGTCTAGAACATCAATTTTTAAAGTGCTTCAAGATGTTTCTGCAACCAGCCAGCTCCGGCAATGAGTGACTTAAGGGAAAGGGGAAGAAGTGTGTGGGCTCATGCTAGAGGTCACCACACCCCACTCCACACCACATCCTTCTGAGGCCTGAGGGGCTGTGGGGACAATGAAGGCGACCACAGCACAGATAACAAACAAAGCAACTATTTGGCAAGAAGAGTCTGAGTTACCCATTAACTATGAGTGATCTGTCAGTGCCAGAGAAGCCTCACAAAAGACGATGGTGTGGTCGCCTGGGAGGGCCCTCAGTGAGGACCCAGTTACACCAATGGCAACACAATCATGCAATATCCTGGCCTTGTGTCCTTCCTGTTTTCTCTTTGAGATTGGTGCTTCCCTGAGTAGAATCATCCCTGGAAAGCAGGGATATCATCATTTCTCGGTGCCATTTGGATTCCCCCAGTTTAAACTCCTCTCTTGTAACAATGGTGATGAAAATTACTGGATTCCCTACATATGATTCCAAGTTATTTGGATTTCATCACTAGTGGCAGATTTAGCACATTCTGGATGTTGGCAAACGAGTGGCAATTGCATAAATACATGAGCACTTCACACCACAAATTAATCCTATAGAAATAATCCAGCTCTGATTACACTGTTTGACTGGGTGGTGCTTGTTAGCTTGTTATACAGCTGGAACCAGCAGGAAGGAGGCAGGCTGGTCACCATGTGGGGTACCAGAATGACAACTGCACAGTCATGCTTTATGATAACTGCACAGTATGCTTCTTAGCCCCACCATCCTCCAAACAAACAAACAAACAAACAAAAACAAAAAAAGAAAAAAGGACAGGAAGGAAGGGAAGGGAAGAAGGAAGAATAAAAGACCACACAGAGTCCATAATATGCAAGTTTAACTTAGACACTCACTTTACACACTAAACCCCTTCTGGGTCGCTTTTTCTGACTAGACAGATAAGACATTCTCAAGGAGAAAATGCGAACAATACGTGAAAAAATAGTGCACCAAATGCCATTGCTGGGAAGCAACAATAATGAAGATGGCAACAGTAGCTCATACCTGGTGGCTGCTACCTGCCATGTGCTGGGCTAAATGCTTTACTTAGCATCATCCCATTTAATTCGCACAACCAGCCTGCCAGGTAGTTTTAGTATAATCGCCATTTCGCAGATGAGAAGATTGAGGTATTGCAAAGTTAAATAATTAGCTATATGATCTAGCCAAGTGACTGGGGGAGTCAAGGTGCGAACCAACCCAGGACCCAGGTGTGACCAAATATCTTTTCAGAAGGATCCTTTCTACAGCTCAAGAGAGGACTCTTTTGGTCCTACTCTTCTCAGAGATACTCCTCCCAAAGCCACCCTCAGCTAAGATCTCAGTGAAGCCTCTGTTAGACTCAGCCAAAGGACCACAGGTCATGTGAAGCACTAAAAACTTTAACCTCAAGTTCCAAGGAGCCCCAGATCCTGGCAGTAGCTGTCCAGGTGGCGGCTCTCCAGGTAGATACCAATAGGCCAGCTTTAGGCAAACACCTCTGAAAGAGCTCACCTCCCATGGTGGAAGAAACAGTCCCTGAATGAAAGCTCAGAAGACCTCCTAGTTCAAACAAACAAACATCCTCTGATTTATGACAAGAAGCCAGTCAACAAGCTCAGTAGGAAAGATGAGCCTTAGAGGAAAAAGCAGAACCCAAGCCTAGGAATATCAACAGTAGGAACAGTGGCAGTGATGGTAGCAATAGCACTCCCTAAAGCCCCTTCCATCATCTTGAAATCAGCAACAGTATCTACCTCTGCGGGATACTGTGTGGCTCAAAGAAGAAAATGCAGGTAAAACATTGTAACACATCTAAGTTCTTACTGTGTGCCAAGCCTTATGCTAACTGTTTTATATACATTTTGTTATTTTGTTTAAATAGTCACATCATCCCTGGGAGGTATTTTTTAAAACACCATTTTGCTGAGGAGGAAACAACTTGAGAGGGGCTAAGTGACTTGCCTGAGGCCACGCAGCTTGGAAATGATAAAACCCGACCTTGTGTCAAGGGTCCAGAGGTTAGAGCCACAAGAACCAATGGCCTTAATCTCCATTTCCATGAATCTTCTTGTTTCTGCAAACAGAGGGCTTCTGAGAAGCTGGGGAATGGTTGAAATTTTTAGACCTGTGAAAACCCAGAAAGCTGGCCCCAAGCGACCCACCACTGACCCACTCTAATGGCTGTATTGTTGCACAGAACTGTCTGCGATGATGGAAATGTTCTATATCTGCATTGTCCAATATGGTAGCCACTAGCCACATATGACGAGGGAGCACAAGAAATGTGACTTGCATGACTGAGGAAATGGTTTTTTTTAACCTTATCGAATTTGAATACATTTAAATATACACCTGTGGCAAGTGGCTGCCGTATTGAACAGAGCAGCTCTGTGGCTCCTCTCACTCACAGCTTGTCAGGTCTCCTGGGCACCACAAGATGGAAGTTCTACAAAAACTCATGAGTTCCCAGGCCAGGCCTCAGTGTGAACGGAAAAATAAAACAAATTTTTCTTACTCCCAAGCAAATGCCATTGCTCTGATCTTGGAACGTTTTCAGCTGGAAGAGAGAAATGGCCATTTCCAAAACAAATGACCTCTCCCCATTTTCCTCCCTTTAAGGAAAAAGATTAAACGTGTAAAGGGTCCCCCATTAAATTACTTAGGAAAGGTTGCCACATTTTCTGGTGACAAATGCCTTTGGCTTATGATGACACAAGGACTCAAACACGGTAGAAAGAAAAAGCCAGAAGGGTAAACAAGAAGAGGTCCCACACTCTCCAAGGTATCATAAATCAAGGAAATAGACTCAAGGAGCTAACAGCTTCCAAACATTCTTCCTCTTGAGCTATTTTAAGCAACCAATACACACAACCTTTCAGAGGCAATTTCATTCACACTAACAGAAGAGAAACAATGTGCTTCATACGGTATTATCTTTAAACACGCAGAGAAACAAATACCTACCCCACAGTTCTCAGGCGCAGCTGGCTGGCCACCCTACTGGGCAATGTTACTATTTTCAGGCCCCCAGTGGCTCAGTTGTTGAGATGCAGTGAGGGATGCTTTGGCCTTGCTTCAGTTCCTCTTGTCCTCTTGGGCCAACCCATTCATTTCTTTGCTCAGGAAATCACTGCATGTGCTTCGTCCCCACCCAGGCCACTCCTGAGGACAGGAGGCCACAGGGCAAATGAGGACTTCAGAGCTCAAAGAGCCCGGCTGTGTCATTGACTAGCTATGTCACCTGAACTTCTCTGAGCTTGTTTTTCAGCAGCAAAATGGGAGTAAGAGTATATATGATGGTAAGAATCACATGATATAATACATGTGAAGCACATGGGCCGGGGTCTGGTGCTTCGTAAAAGTTTGACCCACGGTAGGTCTGTGCTGGGTATCAGAGTTGAGAATTCAGTCTCTTGGCTTCTCTGGCTGGGGAGGGAACACACATGGTTGAAGAGTAGAGAATCAGGGGTAAGACTGCCTGGACCACCACTTATTACCTGCATGACCGTGAGCAAGCTACCAAACCTCTCTGTGACTTTGTTTCTTCATCTTAAAGATGGGAATCACAGTATTCACTTCATTTACCAGTGGGGCAAATAACATCTTATGGTGTCACTCCCATTTCATTTATTTATTTATTTATTTATTTATTTATTTATTTATTTATTCGTTCATTCATTCATTCATTTTTTGAGATGGAGTCTCACTCTGTCACCCAGGCTGGAGGGCAGTGGTGCGATCTTGGCTCACTGCAACCTCCGCATCCTGAGTTCAAGCAATCCTGCTGCCTCAGCCTCCCGAGTAGCTGGGATTACAGGTGTGCGCCAGCACTCTGGGCTAATATGTTGCTCCCATTTTAGATCTAGCCATGCCCTTTCCATGTAAACCTAACAGTTCAAGCTTCTCTTGAGTGTTCTTTGGTGATCCCTCTAGATGAGTTAGCCAAAGCTGCTGTGGCTGTGAAATGAAGGAAAGTCACCATCCTAGGTGGGGCGAAAAGACATACTCCAGAACAAGGATGCTTTTACCACTAATAATAGTTAATGTCTGCATCCTCACTACATACCAGGCTCTCCCAGGAATGCTACCCACATGGTCTGGGCCCCATGCCAGACCATTTATTTCAGAATATCTGGAGGTAGGGCCTTAAGACAGACAGACAGACACACACACACATACACACACTTTTTTTCTTTTGAGACAGAGTCTCGCTCTGTTGCTCAGGCTGGAGTGTGGTGGTGTGATCTGCGCTCACTGCAACCTCTGCCTCCCAGGGTCAGGTAGTTCTCCTGTCTCAGTCTCCCGAGTAGCTGGGATTACAGGCGCCTGCCACCACACCGCCTCATTTCTGTATTTTTAGTAGAGACAGGGTTTCACCAAGTTGGCCAGGCTGGTCTCGAACTCCTGGCCTCAGGTGATCTGCCTGCCTTGGCCTCCCAAAGCGTTGGGATTACAGGCTTGAGCCACCATGCCTGGCTGACACTTTTATTTTTAAGCTATCCAGATAATACTAACGTGAATCTAGGATTGAAAACCACTGAAACAACAACCCTATCAGCTAGGAACTATGGCAACCCCATTTAACAGAAGAGGAAAACTGAGGGCAGAGACCTCAGCTATCTAGCTGGCAATCAGACAGTGACAACTCCTTCAGACCCCATCTCTTAGCCAGGCTTTGCACCCTGCCCCTCCTGAGCAGCCGAGGTCAAAGCATCCAACAGGCGGTTGGATACTCCCAAACCATTCGGACACCACTCCAGGCCCCATGCCTTCTCAAGCCACCTAAGAGCGTTCTTTTTCCGGCCAAATTTCAGACCCACACTTGACCTCCAGGAATCCAAAGCTGCCTGAAAAATGGAGTCTTGCTTTCCCAGAATTGAAGGACACAGACGCAAAGTCACAATGATCCACAGAACAATTGGACTAATTAAACAGCCCCCATTTTAATGACAGGAAACAACAGAGTTGATGATCTTTATTAAAGGCTGCTGGCTGCCTACAAAGAAGCTGGAAAGCAAAATTCAGGGGCTTTTATGGCCATCAGCCAAAGATCGTAAGACTGAAAATTAAATCTCTATTGTCTGAGTCTCTATGCAGCCCTGCTATACTGAGCCCACCCTCTGGAAGGGCAAAGAAGGGCAATATTTCAATCCATCATATGACTAATGAAGTTCAAGGTGGCCTGTCTCCCAGCCAACTTCCTATTTGTTTTTCGGAGACAGGGTCTCACTCTGTTGCCCAGGCTGGAGTGCATGCAGTGGTGTGATACCGGCTTACTGCAACCTCTGCCTCCTGGGCTCAAGCAATCCTCTCACCTCAGCCTCCCAAGTAGCTGGGGCCACAGATGTGCACCATTATACCTGGCTAGTTTTTGTATTTTTTTGTAGAAACGGGGTTTCACCGTGTTGCCCGGTCTGATCTCGAACTCCTGGACTCAAGCCATCCACCTGCCTCAGCCTCCTAAGGTGCTAGGATTACAGGTGTGAGTCACTGTGCCCGGCCCAACCTATTTGATATCTGTATGTGATTTGAGACAGACAACTAAAACCGCACTAGGATCTTTGGTGCAGTCCTGCTTCTTCCATACACAGCTTTCCCCACTTCAGTCAATGGCCACTCCCTCCTTCCAGGGCTCAGACCATAGCAACTTGGTGTCATCCTTGATTCCTCTCTCATACCTCACACATCCAAGCTGTTGGCAAGTGCCAGTGGCTGGTCCCGCTGCGTCCACACTTGATACTAAAGTCAATTTCCAACACAATAGAGAGAGTGACCTTGTGGAAATACAAATCAGATCAAGTCACTCTGTGCTTGAGTCCCTCCAATGCTTTTCAGCTTACTCAGAACTAAAAGCCAATGAATTATTACCCAATGGCCTACCCCACTAACCACCCCACCATTTCCTCTCCAACCACATCTCCTGCTACACTCGCCCCAGCCGCACGGAAGGAGCTTCTCCTTGGTGGCTCCTTGAACCCACCAGGAATGCTTGCTATTCCCTCTGCCTAGAGCTGTCTTCTCCAGCCAGGCTGGCCTCAGGTGATTCCCCTCACTCTGCCTCATTATCCACAGGGCCTGCACCCTGCCCTCCTTCAGGCCCCTTTTATTCATTTGTTGCATCACCAGCTCCTGGAACAGTGCCCAGCACACAGTCCTCAATAAATATTTGTTGGGTGAACAAACGGATGTAACCCAAACAGAACTCCTGGCCTCTCCCCTACACAGTCCTCAGACTCCCCACCCCCGCCATCATCATTTGTCTCCTCAAAGACCAGTGTGGTAGAAAACACTACTTAGAATACTTTACAAGCACCCACTGGACAGGTGGGGGACATTGCGATGCCTTCTCAGAGGCAGCCCTACCCCTGAGGCCTTCTCACCTGCTACTGAATTGGGTCCCAGCATAGTCCTGGCCTGCCCAGCTGGTACTCAAGTGGATTAAGTCCAGAAGAACAGCTGCAAGCAACTTGCTTCCAAATTGTGTCCCCATGTACAACTTTAATTACCCGGCTGCTGAGATGGGCTGAAGAAGAAACAACCAGGTCCCTGGCTTTCACAAAAGCAACTCTTTTTTTGCCATATGTTCTGCCTCTCCAGAAGATTTCATCAATTTTCAACTTGGGATTTGACGGGTAGATGGGCCGGTTGGGGAAGAGAAACAGGCAAGCCACCCCATTTCCCCAGCCTCTCATACTGACCTGCCCAAGCCCTATTCAAGCTATGTGACTGTGAAGTACATCAGGGTTCAGAGCCTGTATACCTCGGAGCATGGAGCTCCATGTCTCGGCCTTCAGCATTCCTGGCAGCCTGTCATCCTCAGTTACTCTCATTTTCCCTCCTCTTTGAAACACCGGCCCTGCCAATGGCAACAAACAGCATTTAAAAATATCCTGCTGGATTATACAGCTCTGCCTTTGAAATTCCTCACAATGCCTGTCTCTGTCCCACATCGTATAAAGAAGGGTGTAGCATATTTAATTTTTTTTTTCTAGCTGCTCCCCTGCTATAAATATCCAAGTCTGGGTAGGCGGGCTTCAAGCACATGCTATATGAAGTCACCTCGGAGCTGGATCTCACCACAGTGCCGGCCTGCCAGGACCTGGATGCAGCTGTCAAGCACTGAAGCATGAGGTCGGCCAAAAGCATGTAGCACTCATCTTTCTGGGGAAAGGGGCACAGGAAAACCCTGAGTACAGTAATCACAATTAATCTTAATATTAAAAAGACAGTGTCCAGCCCTATTACCAAGCCAGGTCTTCAAAGAGCTCGTCCAGCACCATCCTGGGTGTTTCTTTCCCAAGGATACTAATTACAGCGCTCGACCTTAGGAAAATGACTGCACAGTGTCCATGTGGGGTCTAGAAACACTATCAGAGACAGAAAAGCCCTTGGGGAATCTAGTCTGACCTCTCCACACCACAGATAAGGAAACAGAGATCCAAGAGATGGAATGATTCATGCCAGGTCACAGACGGGGCAAGCTCCACCCCAGAATTTTCTGGATCCAAATCCTCATAGCTCTGTACTGGATTGTTCCGGATGCTTGTGCACGTACACCCACTTGGTGTGTGAGCCTCAGGCTTGTGTTTATTAATAGCTCTCCTCACAGCAAATACTAATTTTCATATTTTAAAATGTACAGACTAAAAAAAGTTGTAAAGGTTTCAATAAAAGCTTGGCCTCAACTGTAGGGAGGGTTTTCGTGCACTGAGAGGCCCATTTCAACCTCTTTGAGGTCCAGTTTAATGTCTCCTCAACTCTAACCTTGTATGTCCAGGCTTCCAAGTTTAGTTTTCTTGTTTAATTTTTCCATCATGGGCCTGACTCTCCTCAGCTTACTTTTAGAAAGCAAACCATGGGCCGGGCATGGTGGCTCATGCCTGTAATCCCAGCACTTTGGGAGGCCACGGCGGGCAGATCGCTTGAGGTCAGGAGTTCGAGACCAGCCTGGCCAACATGGTGAAACCCTGTCTCTACTAAAAATATGAAAATTAGCCAGGTGTGGTGGTGCCTGCCTATAATCTCAGCTAACTGAGAGGCTGAGGCAGAAGAATTGCTTGAACCTGGAAGGAGGAGGCTGCAGTGAGCTGAGATCGCAGCACTGCACTCCAACCTGGGTGACAGAGTGAGACTTTGTGTCAAAAAAATAATAATAAAAATAAAGAAAGAAAGGAAACTGTGGGCCTCAAGTCACTAACTACAAATGACTGTGTATGTATTTTTGCAATATGTTCATGAAGTTTATCTTTGTCAAGTGACAAGAAAATTCCTTCCCTTCATAACACTGGAGTCCGGAAAAAGACCGACACCTGAGTTATTAGCTAAGCCATTGATGACCTATCACATTTTATTATTATCAGCAGAATTCAGCTGCACCTTAGGGACTCCAATTCAGAAGACAATTAGCTATAAGGTGGTTCCACAATATTAAGCATTTAATATGCTTGAAATCTTTATTATCAATGCTCTGGAAACACATTAACTAAGAATTAAAATGTCAGCATCTCTGAGAATTGAGCTTTTATTGTCCAAAATAATAAACCCTAAACTGGAAGTCGAATATCGTATACATCAGTCGGACTTAACACCGAAAAAAAAAAGTTCTGGGACCATCTTCTCTCACCCTGTTTTATGCTCCACGATTAAGAATCCTGCTTTGGCAAGAGTCGATCCAATGGCCTCGTTTAACACATTTGCCAGTCTTGACCTTCATTCTGTACTGGGATTGCTTTGGCCTGTAATGCTACATTCAGGGCCACGGAAGAAATGCAAAGTCAGAGCCAAATTCAACAAGAAAAGAAGGGTTGATAGAAGCCTTGTTCTTCAACCCCTCACAACCCAAGTTTGCTCAGTTAAGGTCTTCTTTTAATGCTTTTACTGCTAGGACAGCAGACGGGTGCATTTTTGAGGTCAAGCTTTCAATCACCAAGAGGAGTAATTGGAGGTCTGGGGCCATGGTTAAGATGAGCTAGGGAGAAGACACACTCAATTTCTGAATTATGAAAATAAGTTTTGGAAAACTCTCATCCTGTACTCTGGCAGGCTTCTTAACATCTGGATAAAAGATGTGGGAAAGCTTTCCTTTTTCCTGTGTTATCTCCACTGTTCCTGCTTGTCATGTATCTGAACCTTCCACCCAAACAGGAGAACTTGCTGTTCTCCAACACATATGCGTTGGCTTCCAGGTCTTTGCTCACACTGTTCCCTCTGCCTGGAAGCCTCTGGGGGCTCTGCATCCCCTCCCATCTCCGCAGTCGCAGCTCTACCTGCCCAAATCACTGGCACACCTGCCACATCCTCCACAAAGAAACCCTGACTTCCTTCCACCCAGACAGCCAGGAGTCATCTCTTCCCTTTAAGCTTTCTAATCACCAGAAGCTTTAAGGTCCCCAACTATGGGATGGAAGTTATATCTACCTTCCAGAGGAGCTGGGAGGATTAAATGAAACAGCTCCTGAAAAGCACCCGCAATGGGGAACCAGCAATGAAGACTAGACAGTGGAGTCTATCGCCATTGCTCCCCTCTTTGTTTGAAGGTGGTCACTATAAACTTCTTTGTAACTATCTGTATATATGCTTTGCTTTCCCTACTAGATTCTAAACACTTCTAAACTCAAAACAGTCAAGATTCTTGTCCCTTGCTAATCTGTCTCCATTGCCTTGGATGTAGCTGGCACTCAGTGAGCAGTTGATTAATGATGCCGGCATGGCATTCCTCAGGAGTACTTGGGCTGTGTTCCTTATGTATCTCCTCCCAATCCTGCATGCAGCTCCAAGCACACAACCAAAGCTGCAAAAGCACTTAGGCCTTTTTTAAAACAAGCAGGAAGACCACAAAGTGTGTTTACATGACAGGCCAGCAAAACACAAAACACCTGCTATGATCTGTGGCTGAGGATTTGGCGGCTGCCACAAGCAGGGTCCAATATCCACAGGAGAATTGCTCTCTGGGGGCCTGGAGCTTTGAATGTGCACTCTTGCTGTCATCCTGGCAGAGATGGGCTTGAGCTCAGAGGGTGAGATCTAATCTCTCTGCCCACTGCCAGACCACTTGTTGTTGGGGGTAATCGAGCCATAACTGAGCAAGGTGCAAGGGTGCTTTTCCAGATTCCATAACTTCCTCCTACCTCCACAAACAAACTGTTAGCCACCAAGGAAAGCCTTGCGAGTAATACCCATCTCCCTGAGATTTGGGTCGTGACCCTCCTTGCACCAGAGACTTTGGCAAAAATGAACACAATCAGTGGATCCAACACAAGTTTGTTAAAAACAATTAGAATATCTTATGTGTCAGGCATAACACAAAGTCCCTCACAGGGACTCTTATGAAATTCTCACAACCATCCTATGAGTTGGGTACTATTTTCAGTCCTATCTTATAGAGCTGTGTTTCACAGCCAAGGGTGAATTTGCTCCCCAGGGAACATCTGGAAAAGTCTGGAGACATTTTTGATGGTCTCAACTGGTGGTGGCTATGAAGCATCCTACAATGCCCAAGACAACCTCATGACAAAACATTAACCAGTCCAAAATGTCAATGGTGCCCTGTGATCAAGGAAGAAACTAAGGCACGGAAGTGAAACAACTTGCCCAGGGTCACACAGCTCCCAAGTGAAGTTATGAGGAATTACAGCCAGGCAGCCCCACCCCGTGCTGTGCTCTCACCAGTAAGCCTGGCTGCATCTCTCACATCCCAGGGCACTGAGTATGCATAAGGCACAACCGCATGTGTACAAGCCTCTCATTTTACAGTAGAGGAAATAGAAACATAGTGTGACTTGCTTGAAGGCCTAGGTCAGTAAGAGGCAAATCAATCTGGGACTCAATTCAGACTCCAAAGTCTGGGCCCTTCACTGCTTTGCTACATCGCTGACTCATTCTCTCCCTGTGCTCTAAACACCGAGATGGAGTCAGCAGCCGGACACCATGGGGGACTCGGAGGAAATCAAAGCCCCCTTCATACAGGCTCTTCTGCCAACTCCAGGACAGGTGCACCAAGCTCCCCAAGACCAGTGACCTAGACTCAAATCCCTCTTGGTGCCTTCTCTCCTTCATGTATTAGCCTTTGCTGAGCTGACCCGCCCATCCTTTAGAAGAGCATCGCAGTGTACTCTGCGGCTTCTCTATTCAGCTGAGCTTATTGGTCACCAGCAGGTGACACTTATAAAGGCCCTCCCTGGGCAGCAGAGCTCTCTGTGCCCTCTTCTTCCATCCCCAGGAGCAGCAATAATGGCTCTTTAAAATCAGTGGCACCTCTAGGGTGGGGAGAGCCAGCAAGCAGCATTTAAACAGAGTAACAGCAACCTTTGGAGGAAGATACACCCCTGGGTGTCAGTGCCTGCTCTTTCACTGTGGTCGTGAACACTCACTGGCCTAACAAATGTAAAGTGTCTGGACACCATAGGCCATTAACAAACAAGACCTATAACAAGTGTTGTTCTTGCTATGAGTTTGACCCTAGCTGCCATCTGAATGGGGCCAAGTACTGACCTGTATTTGCTACCTTGGATTCTGTAATTCTTTATAGGAAAAGCACAGGCCTGGGGCTTGAGCAAAATGGGACTTAGTCATTATTGAGCTTAGTTATTATTGAGCTGTGAATTCTGGACTCATGGAGACCTCTCAGTGAAAGGACACACATTCACAGGATTCTCATGGGGACCTAGAAAGCTCACAGATGAGAATAAGCTTGAGGTGTTGTGGAAAAGTCAGACCTATTACTACAGCTGCATAAGAGTAGAAATAGAGGCGAAGCATCTACCCACTGACCTGTCGGACAAAGGATGAATACTGATGGTGAGGTGGGATAAGGACAAAGCTGAGGATGTGCAACCAAGTGTCTCTGGTTTGTTTCAGAACTTCCCATTCTTGGGATGCCAACCCAGGAATGTCTTGGCAATTGATTACCTTGGTTCAGTCCTCAGACTGGAGGCAGATGGAGTGGGACACAGATGTAAACTCTTCTGAGCAATAGTCATCAACATAAATTGTCCTCTGGGGCAGCTCTGTTGGCAAGGGGGCGGTTGGTATTTCCATTCTTAAGGAAACCTTCAACTCAATCCTCCTGTTGACTTTTCTGTGGCCTGCTGTACCAGACGTCTGTTGTGAAGCCCTTCCTCTTGGGTATTGTACACTGAAGACATTCTCCTAAACTGAAAATTCCCCCAACTCACATCTTGCACATCAAAGCCAGACTTGGGAACCCTGCTAGAAAGCAGGGTACCCAAAGGTTGGATGTAGCCCCAAAATGCTGACTCTATTCATTGAGAACAACTTGGAAATTTTCTGCCTTGGTAGAAATGGGGACGGTTCTGATATATCAAAGGAATTCAAATACAAATTTTAAACCTGTATGGCGGGATCTATCATTTGCCCATCATTTATAGAGCACATATTGTAGACACCATGAGAGGTACAGGGAAGACAGCAATGCCTATGAAGTGCACAGTTTTATGGGAGAGACACACACAAGCAGGAAATGATTTAAGAATATGTCCTGGGTGCTGAGGAAACATCACAAAGGGGTGGCTCTTCCAGCTGGGGGAGTCAGGTAGAGCTTTCAGTAGGAGGAAGTGGAACAACTCTACCTTGTTCCTCTTACTACTTAAGGCTAGGGTTGCCTTTCTCAGGCGTGCGAGAAAAAAAAATTTTTCATTTCCAAAGCTTGCTCTGTTTCAGTTTTACCAACTCTCTTGGCTTTAATAAAATGGTTAAAGAGATAGGAAGCAGCCCTCATCCTTCAGACTACCCAGGTGTGGAAACTGATTAAACACCACCTGACAAGCTCAATCAACCCTTGCTGCTTCAGTTGCTTCTCTCAGTAGAAATTCATCCTACAATCTCATCACTAAATAAATCCCACAACCAGAAGAGGTTTCGTCCCTGCTCTACATGCAGCCCTTTTCTTTCTCAGCTCTAAGTGAGATGTTGAGACTTCTCTCAGCTGGTGAATAACTGAATCATTCAGAAAAGTCCTCAGTCACTATTTTTGGCCTAAAGGTCCTTAGTAGTATTGATATTACTGGCTATTACTAATAAACCTTCAGAGAAGCATTCCTTGACTGTCATTTAAATTAGCCCCGTCACACCATCCCATTACCCTGCCCTTTAAAAAAAATATTTTAAACAACACTCATTACCAAGAGAAAATCCTTGCTTATTTACTTTTTCTCATTTCCTCCACTGGATTATAAACTTCATGAGAGGAGGGCTTTTCCCCTTGTTCATCACTTAGTCCACAGCACTTTTAACAGTGGTGGGTACAGGGTCAGTGCTCAATAATTGTTGAATGAATTTACTATTTATTGAGCATTTACTATGTGCTAAGATCTTTCAATCTATAGTCTCATTTAATTCTCATACCACCCATATAAGCTAGGTGCTCTTACTATGTCCCATTTTGCAGATGACAAAATTGAAGGTTAGAATGGTTAAGAAAATTGCACCAGGCCACTCATGTAAATGGCAAAGTTGTGTATGGCCAGGCATGATGGGTCATGCCTGTAATCCCAGCACTCTGGGAGGCTGAAGCGGGAGAATCCCTTGAGCCCAGGAGTTTAAGGCCAGCCTGGGCAACATAGCAAGACCCTGTCTCTACAAAAATAAAATTTTAAAAATTAGCTGGGTGTGGTGGCATATGCCTGCAGTCCCAGCCACTTGGGAGGCTGAGGCAGGAGGAACCCTTAGAACCCAGGAGTTCAAGGTTGCAGTGAACTACGATTTTACCACTGCACTCCAGCCTGGGTGATACAGCAAGACTCTGTCTCAAAATAAACAAATAACAAAATAAAACAAAATAAATGGCAAAGGTAGGCTTCAAACTCTCATGGTGAATCCAAAGTCTTGTGCATGTTACCACTAGGATAGAGCAATCCTTTTGTACACCCTGGATACTTCTTTGGAGCAAGAATATTCTCACCAATATCCTATCACTTAATCAAGAATCTAGAAATTGAGGAAGATTTTCTAAAATGCCACAGACACTCACAAAAGCTTAGTAAGAAGAATGACCAAGAAGAAACCTAGTAGTGATGCTCAGCATCAAACTCACCTATGGGAAGTGATGGGGGAGAGGAGGGAGAGAGAGGAGAGAGGAGAGTAGGGAGGGATATGAGTGGATGCGAAAAGTTTCTATTTTGTGCAAACTACCTGTTTATAAATACTGCTCTATTAAATTGGTTTCTCTACCTCCCGTAAGGAAGTCATGAAGATATCATCATTTAATGGCCTTGCCATGGGATTGGGGACATCAATACCAAATGAGCAACAATATATAACTCCTGCTGCTCTACGGAGCTGGGATCATGTTTTGTAAACACTGCAGAACTTTTATTATCCATCTTGTGCTGAGCAAAACCATATTTGTCCTGCATTCTGAGTAATGGACAGGAATAGATGGATTACGGCCCTTAAATTCTTGGTTGGAAGACATTAAGTTTAAAAGCCCTATATAGCTGAGTCAAATGCATGTGCCCATGCTGTATAATTAGCAGGCATATCAACAATAAATTTATAATTTAAAGGGAAGACCAGCAGGACAAGAATTCTAACCAGCACTCTCCTTCCCATACGCAGTCATTCCCCAGTTGGTCTTCAGCTGTGTAAACCGTTACCTTGCTGGCCTTGGGGTAATTTTAATATAACAAAGGTTTGGACCACTCCATTTTGTTCCTAAGCAGTGTATGCTTCCCTCTGAAGCCAGCTTTCAGACATAAGTAATTCATTGCCCCTCTACTAAACATTCATTTCACTTTGTCTAAAGGGACTTAATAAATCAGCCTGGTTATTGTTTAATGTGGCCACCCCCTGGTTTTCATGTATAAAAAATGAGCATCCAGTTGCTAAGTGGAAGTGAATGGTCACCTCGCCTGCAAGAGAGTTCCCTGGAGACCCGAGAAGGTACAGAGGGAGACACTTTGACTCTGAGCATCCGGGGAGCTTTGTTGTCTGCCACAGAGAATCCTGCTCTCTTGACTACCCAGGATTAAGGAGGATTGTTTGGAAAGGGGGGGCAAGGAGGAGGTTAAAACATGGGGTCGTGGCTGAGTGTGGTGGCTCACGCCTGTCGCCTGTAATCCCAACATTTTGAGAGGCCGAGGCAGGAGGACTGCTGGAGCCCAGGAGTTTGAAACCAGCCTGGGCAACATAGCAAAACCCTGTCTCTATTTAAAAAAACAAAAGGTGGTGGTGGAGCTGGGGGGTGGGGGTGGGGGGGTAGGTGGTGCCAAAAGACCAACTTATAAAGGAAATCCCAAGGAATGCTGACCCTAGATAAGAAATAGTTCTTTGGTTGGAAGCCCTTTAGCAGAAGACATCTGTTTTCTAGCAGCTTCTGGCCACTTCGCATCTTCAGGGTGTCCTGGGCAGGGAGTTGGTCTTCCTTATTTCAATTTGCAGTTAGAAAAGCTGGGAGAAGCTTCTCAATGTGCTGGGCACCTGTTCTGCATGAATATATGTTTTTGTTTTGTTTTGCATTTACAGTTCCACCCTTATTCTTGTTTGGCTTATAGGGTTAGGTCTTCAGTCTTTTCTCCTAGGAGCCTGCCTTTACTTCTTTGAGTTCAGTTTGGGCCTCCTCTCAGCCAAAAGTACAGAACTCTTTCCCTCAATTATGACCACTGGAGATGGAAATCCCCTGGCCCTCCACTTCCTGCCCTGGAGCTGCTGTTCCCAGTGTTGATGCCACAAACCTGGAGGGTGAGGCACAACAAGCAGCTGTGACATCATCAACTGAGATTCAGGACTGACCTTAGCTCTGACCTAAGAGGAAGAAAATTAAGCAGCAGATGCTCTTCAATTCCCAGCATCTCCTTTGGCAGTGCCAGAATTTAAAAACAAAACCAATAATGTCAAAGTAAGCCATGCTTGGTACAGAGTGTCTTCAAAATGGGCCTAACATGTCAACTGTTCTCGAAAACTGGGCTAATCAAAAAACAAAGCATAAGATCTGAGAGCTATAGTCCAGTAAGAAAAACAAACAAACAAACAACAACAACAAACCAGAAAAACAAAGCTGTTTCTTCTCCACCAGCATCTAGAACCTTAAAGGGGCCTACCTGGATTCAAACTGGATTCAAATTCCAGTTTTGCCATTTAACATCTATGTAATGTTGGGCAGATTATTTAACTGCTGGGTACCTTGGTTTCCTTATCTGTAAAATGGGCATCATACTATGCAGTAAGTACCTACCTAATAGGCTTGCTAGGAGTACTTGAGTTAAATACAAAGTGCTGAGAATAATGACGACACATTAAGGGTTATTTTGCATTTCAGCTATTATGATTATGTTAAACCATGTTTTGACTTCTTTTATCCCTTTCCAGTCCCCACCTGACCTCTTCCACTGCCTGCTTATTTGCCACTGAAAGCTGCCCCCCAAATGGCCTTCCAATCAGATCGTAAGGCTGTTTAACCATAATACCATTCTGAACAGTTTATGGTGCTGACTTCTCAAACTGAAGTCTTGTAGGTAGTTTGCAGTTGAATGCAATGTCACACCCCCTAACATTGTCAGGGAAAAGGTCATGTGCTTTGTTTCCATCCTTTGCACCAAATCCATGCTATCTTCAGGGAAGTGCAACCACCCAATGGTTCCTTTCCCAGACTTGACCCCATGCGGTTACCTATCTCTTCCCCTTGATGGGCCACCACTCTTTTCAGGAAAGAACATTTAATACAATGCAAGGTTTTAACCAATGGCTCACTTGGTTGGTGACAGCTTGGAAAAATCAGGTCTCAGGAGACAATCTGTGGTTACTTTTCTGGGAAGGGGAGTCGGGGTCCCCAGGTTTCATCATTCCTGGGCACATATAGGTAAGAGCGAACCACTACCCCTCCATCCCCCAAGAGAGCGCCTGACAGCATCCTTCAGCCCAGCAAAGCACAAGGCGCAGCACCAGATCTTGGGCTTCCCACTTCCCTCCGCCCATCTTACTTATCCAAGGTTCAGGTCTTTAAGTTGGGACCCTTTGGTTGCTGCTATTGAGCTGGGGAAAACTAGGGGGCAGAATCAGTCAATCTAACCAGCTGTTGGGGAAAGACAGCAGCTAGAGACCTAGTCAATCACGGTAAAGAGCCACGGGGCAGTAAGTTTCATTTCAAGAGAGGTTCAGGAATGGCTTGGTCAAGAGATTCAATCTCACCCAATCAATGAACAGCCCGCAGATAGTAACAATGCCACGCAGAACAGGATGGAGATCATTCACAAGTTTACCCTCCAAAAGTCAGACACCCTTAGAACAATCTCTGGCAAGTGCCATGTAATGAACCCTATCCTCAGACCAAACGTTTTCTCCCAAAGAACTGGCACAGCCACCAGCTTTGTCTCAGGAAATTCACTCCCCCAGTAGCCCAGGGCGGGATTTCTTGCCTACCCAGTCTGCCAGTCCGAGGCCCGCGCGCTTACCATTGGCGTTCTTGCCGCAGATGAGATGCTCATAGGGCTGCAAGACGCCCCAGAGCTCGGCGTCGTTGTTGATGACCATCTCCAGGGCCTCAGCAGACACCTCCCCGCCTCCGGCCCCTCCGCCATCAGGGCTGTGGCTGGCCATCACCCTGGCCCGGATCTCCTCCACCAGGTTCTCCATGCAGGCGGTGAGGGAGATGGCTGCGTACTCGTGGATGCGCACGGAGATTCGGGTGTCCACCATCCAGCGGAAAAAGCGACCCACTGAGAAGGTGAGGCCGCAGCGCGCGGACTTGCCCCGGCGCAGCCCGTCGCCGGCGCTCATGCTGTACAGGGACAGCGCCTTGACGGCTGCCAGCGCGCAGCTCTCGGCCAGCGCCCAGCTGTGCACCAGGCGCACGGCGCTCTGCACCTCAAAGCGGGTGCACTTGGCGTGCAGCACGCTCAGGCGCTGCGCCTCGCGGGCCACGCGGATCAGTGCCCTGCGGAGCAGCCCGGCCAGGCGCCTCACCGCCTCGGCGGAGAACTGGGGCAGCCGCCGGCCGCCAGCGCCTTTGCGGAGCACCCGGGCCACGTCTCCTTCGGTCCAGGGGAACTCCTCCAGCTCGGGGAGCCGCGGACAGCGCGAGAAGAGGTCGGCCACTTCGGGGTCCTCGGGCAGCACCGTGTTCACCGTGTCCCAGCTGTTGTGGCGGCTGTTCATGGAGCCGGAGTAGCACCACCAGGCCGCCCCGCGGTGCTGCTGCGCCGAAGAGTTGAGCGCCTGCGAGTTGGACTTGGAGGACGAGAGGCTGAGCGAGCGGCACGAGTCCCCGGCCCCATACCCGGAGTCCAAGGTCAAGTCCTCCAGCGTCTTCAGAGTCGAGCTGTACGTCCCGGCCATGGGGAGCCTGCCGAGGGCGGCGTCGCCGAGCGAGGGGCACTCACAACTCCATGCCCTCTTTCCCAAGTGGGCAGAAACAAGCTCTAGGCCCTCCGGGCCACCCTCCTTCCTCTCTGCGTCGCGGGGCTCGGCGGCCGCATTGCCTGCCCGGAGGCCGCGGGAAGGTGGCCGAGATCCGTGGCCAGCAGGAGCCCCACGCTCCCGGCGTCCCGACTCGCAGCTGCCACTGGAAAGAACCCCGTCGCTACCCCCCGGCACTCCCCCTTGTCCACCTCTAATTCCCACAAGCAGAGAGTCAGTCCTCCACAGAGAAGGAATCCCGGGAGAACAGGGCGGCGGCGGCAGAAGGAGGAGGCGGCGGCGCAGGGCGCAGGGCGCAGCGCGAGTCCGGGACCAGCCGGCGAGAAAGCGCTCTGCAAACTTCTGCGCTGCGCCGGCCGGCAGCACAGCTGGGTACCCGGCTGCGTCCGACATGCAAATAACCCCGGGCGGCTTACCAATCACCGGCCGCGATGGGCGGGGCTGCACCAATGATCTCCGAGGGGGCGGTCACTATGCAGATTTCACTCTGCCTCGGGTTAAACCCCGCGGCGAAGGAGGCGGGGCTGGAGGCCGAGGGTCGGGCACGCGGCTGGGATGGGGGTGGGGATGGGGGGGGATGGGGGGGATGGGGGGGTGGGGGAAGGGCGAGCCAGCCAACTGGGAGGTGGAGGTGGAGACCGGAAAGCAGCGGTCGAAACGATAGCTCCGGAGCTCACGATTTAAAGAAAAATGCAAAGGAAAAGCTACAGGGCGCTGCCACCTTCCCGCCACCCAGGCTTTGGGCGTTCGCTGCTCGCTTTCGAGCCCTCCGCAGCCAGGCGTCCTGGGGTTGGGGCCAGGAGAATGGGGAGGGCCCCATCCAGGCGCTCCACCTCTCCTCCACCTTCCGCCAGGCCCCTCCCGCAATCCGAGATGAAACGCTGGCTGTGTTTGGAGGGAGGAGGGAGTCCCTGCCTCTCTTTCCAAGTCCGTCTGGTTCCTTTGCGCTGCCGTCTAGGCTCCAATAAGGACAGAATTTCTTAACCTGGTATCTGATCAATGGACGGGCCCCAGGAAGCCTGTGAGTGCCTCCGCCCATTTGTGGTTTCACCTGCAGTTTTCTGAGTGCCACTATGGGGAAGGGGCACCAACTTTTGTCAGATTCTCAAGAGGATCCGTGACTTCCCTGTTACCTCTGTGTGACGATACCACTTGCTGTCAGGTGGGTCCTTTTTGTCCGAGATAGACAGTGTTCTTACAGGAAGAATGAGAAGAAGGTGGCAGAGCAGTCCCTCGCCCTGGGCTGAGCTCGGAACACCTAGCTGGATGCAGGTGTTCGCCTCCTAACGCGTGCCGGTGGGCGAGCCGTATGCCCCCGCGGGACCCAGTTCCTCCGGGGTACAATGAGTGGCTGACCTCCAGGCAGCGCCAGTGCCAACCTGCCTCCGGGCGGGTGTCCCAAACGGTCCGCCAGAGCGCTGTTGGTTCAGCAGTCCCATGCCCGGTGCAGGCATGTCCCGCCGCTGCCCTGTGGCTACTCACACGCACGTGCGCAAACGGACCTGTGCCCCCTCCAGTGGAACCGCAGGCTCAAGGCGGGGATTGTGCATTCGCTCTCCCCAAGTCAGCCTCCCCCACTCCTGAATGGCTCCTTTGTGTTGCATTTTACACAGTTCTGACCTTGGGCCGTGAGTTGGATATGAACTAGAAATGTCTGGTTTGTCTCTTTCCTTCTTAAATTAATGGCCTTTACCCCCGGTGAAACTGCTTTTTATTTGGCAGTTTCGCTTAATTTTGCCTTTCCGCGGGTCTTTATTTATGCAACATCGCCGCCCGATGGTTAGAATTGGGAACAGAGTCAAAGATGGAAGTACTGTAATACCAAAGACGCAAGTCAGCAGAGATCAAACTAACAAAGGAGAATGCAGTCACACTTTACAGACGTGAGATTAGAAATTAAAGTAGGCAATGAGGTCCAACTTGTCAAAAATACAAAAGTAAATTTTATGCAATTTAAAACTTTATTGGGGAAATATAATATTAAAGGCAATGTCGCCCTCTAATGGATATATTCAAAGGAAATGAATTTCAGAAAGGTTTCCCTGTCCCCCCTTTTCTTCGTTGTGCGCACCCATCAAACCTAAAGAGAATTACTTAACTGGAAATTTACAACGGGGAACTTACTGAATGAAAGGTTATTGGAGGAATCATCTGGAGTGGGAAAAAGAGCCTATGGGATTTATATTAATATATTCAAATTACTTGATGACTTAAAGTGTAGATAATCAAACATGCCTCCAACTGAATCTGAGAATCCTGTGAATGTTGACCTGCAACATGAAGATATATTATGCAAAATTCAGCCATGGGAAATGCTTCTGAACAAACAACTGAGTTTCTTTAATAAATAAGTTTCAAGGAAAGAAAGAGATGGAGAGAAGACCTACACATTTAAAGAGACTTGAAAGACATAATAACCAATTACAAGGTGTGGAACTTATGTGTATTTTGAATTTGTTTTAAAAAGCCAGTAAACATTTGACATTATGAAACCATTAGGAACACTGCCTCGATGTTTGCTCTTAAAGAATAACTGTTTTTTTTTTTTTGATGTGGTAATGGTAGTGTGGTTATATTTATCAAATGTTCTTATCTTTTAGAGACACATGCTGAAATAAGTGTTTTGTAGCCCTCAAGAGTTGGCTTCCTCAAGGAAAAAAGGAAGACAAATCCTCATGGAAAAATCTGGTAAAGGGACTAGGAAGTTAGGAAAGACTGTAGATAGATCTCTTGTCTTTCAAATTTTCCTCAGTCTTCTAGTCAGCCTGAGGACTGGCAGTACCAAGTAAACCCAGAATGTGTCTGTGTTTGTGTTTTGTGTGATATGGGAAAAAGAATAGGAGGAAGATAGATAGAGATGAATATATATATATATATATATATATATATATATATATATATATATCCAGCCATCTTAGAATGAACCAATTCTTTGATTTCAGTTCAACTTTTGGGAGTTGGCCAGTGTGGTGAAATACAAAACTTTGGGTCAAGGAAAGAAAGGACATGGTTTCTTATATATACGTGCATGTGTTCAGTTAAGCCAATCTGCTGGTAATGTGTTTGATTTTAAGAATGCAAATTATATTAAGAGAAAATGTCATCCCAACTCGGGCCTTACCCAAACATTATTTTTGAAGAAACATTGTTTTTGAAGAAAAACAGCTGTCATTAAGCTGGACAAGGAGAAAAGAACATAACAGAACACTGGCAAACATTGGAACAATTCCAAGTGGAGTTGACAATTAAGAAGCAGATCTCGGATTACCCACGCAAAAATCATGTAACAGAGGTAGCTTGAAGTAAACTTTAGAAACTTTACCTGGTGTGAGGTCTTCTATGTGCTTACACAATCAAAAACAATCTGGAAATTAGGAGATAAAATACCCTGGAATTTACCTTGAAAGTGAGGGTGTTATAATCCCAACTATTTACAGACAGAACTGTCTCATGAGAAAGGTAGATTATGGCCTTGACTTTGGAGAGTGGCCAAATTTTAATTTAGTTTGTGGATCACCTTCAGTGCATTTGGCAGATGTAGATCTTTAACTCCCACAGGTGGTTTTAATCAACTCTCCTAGTCAGGAGGGAATGTCTTTAAGCAGAGAATTAACATGTTCAGGCTTACAGAAATAGATTTGAAATTAATTGGAGAAAACTAAGTTTATAGAGCAGAGAGCATTACCTGCTTGTTTGTTGGTTGTCTTTCTGTCCTACAAGAATATAAGCTCCATGAGGGAAGGGATCTTCTCCATTGAGTTCACTTTTGTATCCCATTGCCTAGGTCAGTATGAGCGTAAAGTAGGAGCTCAATAAATATTGAATAAGTGAATGAATGAAACTAACAGGATGAATGGGGCAATGTAATGAACAGCTAGGTTTCTTTTTAAACTCTCAAGGAACCAGCAGGTGCTTAAGACTGTGTGTTAAGGGAAAAGGATTACTGACATCTGAACTGAGATTTTCCTGATACCTGCCTCCTCCATAGACTTTAGGAGAGTCATGTGCTCCCCATCCATATTATTATTATTTTTGAGACAGAGTCCCACTCTGTCATTCAGGCTGAAGTGCAGTGGTGCTATCTCGGCTCACTGAAACCTCCACCTCCCAGGTTCAAGAGATTCTCCTGCCTCAGCCTACCAAGTAGTGGGGACTACAGGCATGTGCCACCACTTCTGGCTAATTTTTGTGTTTTTAGTAGAGACGGGTTCACCATACTGGCCAGGCTGGTCTCAAACTTCTGACCTTAAGTGATCTGCCCGCCTCAGCCTCCCAAAGTGTGGGAATTACAGGCATGAGCCACTATGCCCAGCCCCCACCCACATCAGAAAGGGGTTCCTAACACCTTGGGGAGGTGGGCTTAGGAAGTGGGGAGTGTCTTTGAATCACCTAAAATTGCCTACAACATTTTTAATATGAGTACATATTTGCATATTCTGGAGAGAGGGTCAATGCCTCTAGGCAGGACTGTCTGATAGAACTTTCTGAGATAAAGAAAAAGGTTCCATATCTGTGCTATCAAATACAGAAGCCACTAACCACTTGTGGCTGCAACTTGAAATCTAGCTATTGTGACTGAAGAACTGAGTCTTAAATTTTAATTAATTAATTATTTTTGAGATGGGGTCTCACTGTCACTCAGGCTGTAGTGCAGTGGTATGATCTTGGCTTACTGCAACCTCTGCCTCCTTAACTCAAGTGGTCCTCCCACCTCAGCCTCCTGAGTAGCTGGGACCACAGGTGCACGCCACCACGCCCAGCTAATTCCTTGTATTTTTGATAGTGACAGGATTTTGCCATGTTGCCCAGGCTGGTCTCGAACTCCTGAGCTCAAGTGATCCTCCTGCCTCAGCCTTTAATTTAATTTTAAACTTGAATAGCTATAAGTAGTTAGTGCTACCATAGTGGACAGCACGGGTCTATAGCCTTCGTGAAGATCTCAATGAGGCCAATGATCCTAAGAGGTGAGAAATAAGAATGATGGTTGTTAGAGAAGTTTTTCCAAAATGATGGCAGAACACAGTGGCCCATTGTTAGGTCACAGCGCCACAGCGCAATGTTAGGAAAGGAGATAAATGTTAGGGCCTTGGACAAAGAAAACCATTTGGAAAAGGCATATACAAAGTCTTAAATGGGATGTGAACTCAGCCCATGTGTAAGGAGTAAGACATCCTTCCATTGTCAAGACATCACAGTCCATGTTGAATTGGTGGGAGAGTACATGGTGAGGAGGTAGGTTTGTCCCTAAGGGTAGCTAAAGGCAGACAAGTCCTGGGGACATAGAACCAGCTCCTATGTATGCAAGGTCCAGGGTCTGCTGTCTGTTCAAGGCTCAGGGAAGAGGAGGCCCCTCTATTTACATAGATACATATAAATTTGTTTTTTTTTTCTTTTTTTTTTTTTTTTTTGAGATGGAGTTTCACTCTTGTTGTCCAAGCTGGAGTGCAATGGCATGATGTCAGCTCACTGCAACCTCCGCCTCCCGGGTTCAAGCGATTCTCCTGCCTCCGCCTCCCGAGTAGCTAGGATTACAGGCATGCGCCACCATGCCCAGCTAATTTTGTATTTTTAGTAGAGACAGGGTTTCTCCATGTTGGTCAGGCTGGTCTCAAACTCCCGACCTCAGGTGATCCACCCTCCTCGGCCTCCCAAAAGGCTGGGATTACAGGTGTAAGCCACTGCACCTGGCCATAAATTTGGATTTTTAAAGACAATCTAAGTCTGGGCTTGGCAGAGACAATAAGCTGCTTAGATGAGTGGGAAGGTCAGGGTGGAGAGCAGATCAAACCAGAAATGGCTCAGAACCAGACATCAAACAGTGCCTAGCCCTGGCAACTGATAAGAACACGGGTGGTAAATAGCATTCAGCAAACAGGCCCCTACCAGAGTGGCTGGTAGAAGACTCTAATTTCCAAAACCTTGGGGGAGGGGGCAAGGAAAGGCTGAGCCTGTAGGAACTGAAGGATGGTGCAGAGAGTCAAGACAGGGACTCAGTTATTGGGACTGTGGGTTTCCAGGCGGGGGTTTGGACACAAGGTTTTCAGAGCCAGGTCAGGAGTAGCAGGCAGCGTAATCACGTCCTGAATCTCTGAGGCACTTACTGGTTTGGGACTCCTTAACTTACTGGTTTGGGAACTCCTTAACTATTTGCTGACAGGTGCCAGGCTTGTCTCAGAATCTGGGATGAAGTGGGGCTTCCATAGCTCCTCCTGCAAGGGTTAGAGAGTCACTAAGCAGGGAGCACAGAGATGATTTCAAAAGCATTGCTTGCTACATCGCGGTATTATGAAAACCATCTGGGTTGTTCTTTGGACACTTAACATAATATGCCTGAGAACAGGTGATAACTTAAATGAGTCGTTTTCAAATTGCCGAGTTGAGAAATCCCTTTTTCCAGTCTTACACAGGCCTTGATATGAAATACAAAGAAGCAGAAAGCTTGATTTGGGGTTGTGGGTGGAAGGGTCTAGAGCCAATTCATGAATTTTCAGGCAGCTTCTGAGAAACTCAGTGGAAGCCCAAAACTTTGCAGAGCTACTGGAAAACCACTGACCAAAAGCCATTGTCAGTTCTTTGACTCACTATGCGGGTTGGTACATCTGGGGGAGAAATGGGTCAAACATAAGGAAGGAAATACTGTGGAATGCAAGGAAAGCTGAGAAACGTGGTAAACAGGAGTGTTATGGTTAGCAGAGCTGCTTTGAAGTTGATCAAACAGAACACTCAGTTGTTGAAAAAGAAACCAATGGTGTGGAAACTGTAAAGTCTCCTCCATCCTGTGCAACCTAGATTAGCCCATTCCTGACACAGGTATTTGTTCTGAATCTCACGACTAAAGAAAAACACAGACAATTCAAAACAAAGCCCCAAAATGGTTATAAAGAAGAAGAAAAAAATACTTCCCCAAGGTATGTTCCGCAGGATGGCTAGTCTCATGAGATGGCCTACAAAAAAAAAAAAAAAGAAAAAAGAAAAGAAAAAAAAGAATTGAATTTTGTGGTTAACTTTGGGAAATTTTGCATTCTGTTTCTCCCTCTACTATACTCATGACCTACAATATTTAAGGCTCTGTTTGTATTTCTTGTAACCCATGCTATCCTGGTCCTGGGCTTAACTGTGCAGAGAGTTTTTTTTTTTTTTTTTTCAAATACCACAGGCTATTTTAAAGTAACTGGGACTTTTTATTTAACTTGAAGAAGAGAAGACAATGACTATCTTCTGTGTCTTATGAAGACAATGACACATCTTATGTGTTCGCTCAAGTAGTTGTGATAGGGCAGGACCTTGGACCAAATCCAGATAGATATTAGGACTGGTCAGTTTCAGTATCTGACCATTGCCCAAAGCTGGAATTTGGTTCTTTTGGACACAATGCGATCCCAAAGGTAGTTCCAAACCTAGGACATTGCTTCACAGGAGAAAATCGGGGTAAGTGCTAACACTGTGAAACTCCGTCTCTACTAAAAATACAAAAAATTAGCCAGGCGTGGTGGTGGGGGCCTGTAGTCCCAGCTACTCGGGAGGCTGAAGCAGGAGAATGGCGTGAACCCGGGAGGCGGAGCTTGCAGTGAGCCGAGATCGCGCCACTGCACTCCAGACTGGGCAACAGCAGGAGAATCCGGCTCAAAAAAAAAAAAAAAAAAAAAATTGGGGTAAGTGCAGAAGTAATTGTGGCTTTTGCCATTGAAAGTAATGGCTAAACCGCAATTACTTTTGCACCAACCTAATAAAACCGTTCACAAAGCAAACAAGATAGGTTGTAGGAGGGCTTTCCAACAGGAGCTCTGCCTGTCAGGCAGTTGGCATCACAAATGTGTTAGCTGGTATCAGAGGAAGCCACTGGGAGCCTGGGAGTTTTTTTGATTGTGTGTGTGTGTGTGTGTGTGTGTGTGTGTGTGTGTGTGTTTTGATGGAGTCTCCTGCTGTCGCTCAGGTTGGAGTGCAGTGGTGTGATCTTGGCTCACTGCAACCTCCACCTCCCAGGTTCAAGCAAGTCTCCTGCTTCAGCCTCCCGATTAGCTGCGACTACAAGCGCCCGCCACCACGCCCAGCTAATCTTTGTATTTTAATAGTGACCTGGCTTCACCATGTTGGCCAGGCTGGTCTCGAACTCCTGACCTCAGGTGATCCACGCCCCCCCCACCCCCCCCCGGTTTTCCAAAGTGCTGAGATTATAGGCTTGAGCCACCCTGCCCAGCCTGGGAGCCTGGGGTTTAATGGCAAGAATTTTAGGGAAGGGGCTGGCACTTAAGACCACAGAGCTGAATTATGGGACAGAGAATCCAGGGACAACTTGATTGTGGTAGTGTTGCCATATTCCCAGACCTAGATGTTTCATATTCTAGTTATCAATTATCTGCTTAAAAAAAAAACAAAATCAACAATTGTGCTCTTCTACCCTGGTATAGAGAATCTATTTCAGCTTTTAATATTCATCTGATGGTTTTATACAAATCTCAAGTCCCAGGCACCTTTCTTGGAAATACGAATTCAGTAAGTCTGTAATGTGATCCGGAGTAAAAATATTTTAAACAAGCATTCTGGCTGGGCACAGTGGCTCATGTCTGTAATCCCAGCACTTTGGGAGGCCAAGGCCAGAGGATCACTTGAGCCCAGGAGTTCAAAACCAGCTTGTCAATATAGCAAGACTCCATCTCTACAAAAGAAAAATACAAAAATCAGGAGGGCGTGGTGTTGGGTGCTTTTAGTCCTAGCTACTTGGGAGGCTCAGGTGGGAGGATCGCTTGAGCCCAGGAATTGAAGGCTGCAGTGAGCTACGATTGTGTCTCTACACTCTGGGGTGGGACAGAATGAGACGCTGTCTCAAACAAACAAAAATTCCCGGGTGATTCTTATCAGGCAAGTTTGGGAACTAAGACATTTGTTTCTTAAACCTCAAGGCACCCCAAAACTGTTTTAAAATGCAAATTCTGTAGCCGTAGAGACTGAGTCCTCATTTGTAACCAGAGGGTCTCAGTTTGATTCAAATGCTTTGGGTCCAGGAAACTTGCAATTCAATATGCAAGTCCAGGAATTTCAGGTGTTCCCGGCAGGTGGCACTCTCAATCATTTAGCTATGAACTTGCACCTAAGAAGCCATTTTTTAAAACTCATGAGCAGGATTTAAAGTAAAAACAAACAAACAAACAAACAAACAACTTTTGAATCTCCCAAGAGGATAGATCTGGAACCACATAACTATTCCTAATGATAAATTCTTTAAAAAATCTGAAAATGTCTCTGTCTGCCCTTAAGCAAGGGTGCTTAATATTAGGAATGATTGTAGACAGCTGCAGCACAGGGATGGATGGCTGAATTGCAGATGGGACTGGAGGAAGTGGTCTTCAGAGTTCAGATAGTAGCCTTTAAAAAAATTATTTCCAGCCGGGCGAGGTGGCTCACGCCTGTAATCTCAGCACTTTGGGAGGCCAAGGTCGGTGGATTACCTGATGTCAGGAGTTCGAGACCAGCCTGGCCAACATGGTGAAATCCTGTCTCTACTAAAAATACAAAAATTTGCTGGGCATGGTGGCGTGTACCTGTAATTTCAGCTATTCAGGAGGCTGAGGCAGCAGAATCACTTGAACCTGGGAGGTGGAGGTTGCAGTGAGCCGAGATCACACCACTGCACTCCAGCCTGGGCAACAGAGTGAGACTCTGTCTCAAAAAAAAAAAAAAAAAAAAAAAAAAAAAGAATTATTTCCATAGGTTTTTGGGGAACAGGCGATGTTTGCTTATATGAGTAACTTCTTTAGTGGTGATTGCTGAGATTTTGGTGTACCCATCACCTGAGAAGTATACAAGGTGCCCAGTTTGTTGTCTTGTATCCCTCACCCCCCCCATTCCTTTCCCCCAAATCCCCAGAGTCCATTATATCATTCTTATGCCTTTGCGTCCTCATAGCTTAGCTCCCACTTATGAGTGAGAACATACAATGTTTGGTTTCCCATTCCTGAGTTACTTCACTTAGAATAATGGTCTCCAATTCCATCCAGGTTGCTGCAAATACCATTATTTTGTTCCTTTTTATGGCTGAGTAGTATTTCATGGTGTATCTATACAATTTCTTTATCCATGTGTTGATTGATGGGCATTAGGGCTGGTTGCATATTT
Source organism: Homo sapiens (assembly GCF_000001405.40). Classification (NCBI taxonomy): domain Eukaryota; kingdom Metazoa; phylum Chordata; class Mammalia; order Primates; family Hominidae; genus Homo; species Homo sapiens. The sequence continues at coordinate 34,367,778 of NC_000011.10, forward strand.
TTGCAATTGTGAATTGTGCTGCTATAAACATGTGTGTGCAAGTATCTTTTTCATATAATGACTCCTTTTTTTCTGGGTAGATAGCCAGTAGTGGGATTGCTGGATCAAATTCCTACTGACACTGTTCTACAAATAGAGAAAGAGGGAATCCTCCCTAAATCATACAAGCCAGTATCACCCTAATACCCAAATCAGGAAAGGACATAACAAAAAAAGAAAACTACAGACCAATATCCCTGATGAAGATAGATGCAAAAATCCTTAACAAAATACTAGCTAACTGAATCCAACAGCATATTGAAAAGATAGTCCATCATTATCAAGTGTGTTTCATACCAGGGATGCAGGGATGGTTTAACATACTCAAGTCAATAAATGTGATACACCACATAAACAGAATTAAAAATAAAAATCACCTGATCATCTCAATAGATGCAGAAAAAGCATTTGACAAAATCCAGCATCTCTTTATGATTAAAACCCTCAGTAAAATTGGCACAGAAGGGACATATCTTAATTATACTAAATGTATAATTAAGTACAGCCAACATTATACTGAATGGGGAAAAGTTGAAAGCATTCCTCCTGAGAACTGGAACAAGACAAGAATGCCCACTCTTACCACTTCTATTCAACATTGTACTGGAAGTTCTAGACAGAGCAATCAGACAGGAGAAAGAAATAAAGGGCATCCAATTTAGTAAAGAGGAAGTCAAACTGTCACTGCTGATAATATGATTGTATACCTAGAAAACCCTAAAGACTCCTCCAAAAAGCTCCTAGAACTGAAAATGAATTCAGCAAAGTTTCAGGGTACAAAATTAAGGTACACAAATCAGTAGCTCTGGTATATACCAAGAGCAACCAAGATAATAATCAAATCAAGAACTCAATCCCTTTTATAATAACTGCAAAAATAAAATAAAATACTTAGGAATATACCTAACCAAGGAGTCAAAAGAACTCTTCAAGGAAAACTACAAAACACTGCTGAAAGAAATAATAAACAACACAAACAAATGGAAATACATCCCACGCTCATGGATGGATATAATCAATATTATGAAAATGACCATACTGCCAAAACAATTACAAATTCAATGCAATTTCCATCAAAATATCACCATTATTTTTCACAGAACTAGAAAAAACAATCCTAAAATTCATATGGAACTAAAAATGAGCCTGCATAGCCAAAGCAAGACAAAGCAAAAAGAACAAATCTGGAGGCATCACTTTACTTGACTTCAAACTATGCTATAAGGCCATAGTCACCAAAACAGCATTGTACTGGCTTAATAATAGGCACATAGACCAATGGAACAGAATAGAGAACCCAGAAATAAGCCCAAATACTTACAGCCAACTGATCTTTGACAAACCAAACAAAAACATAAAGTGGAGGAAAGGACACCCTATTCAACAAATGGTGCAGGGATAATTGGCAAGCCACATGTAGAAGAATAAAACTGGATTCTCATCTCTCATCTTCTACAAAAATCATCTCAAGATGGATCAAGGACTTAAATCTAAGACCTGAAATCATAAAAACTCTAGAAGATAACATTGGAAAAACCCTTATAGGCATTGGCTTAGGCAAAGACTTAATCACCAAGAACCCAAAAGCAAATGCAACAAAAACAAAGATAAATAGATGGGACTTAAACTAAAAAGCTTCTGCACAGCCAAAGAAACAATGAGCAGAGTAAATAGCCCACAGAATGGGAGAAAATCTTTGCAATCTATACTTCCAACAAAGGACTAATATCCAGAACCTTTCTACAAGGAACTCAAACAAATCAGCAATAAAACGCCAAACAATCCCATCAAAAAGTGGGCTAAGGACATGAAAAGACAATTTTCAAAAGAAGATATACAAATGACCAACAAACATGAAAAAATCTTCAACATCACTAATGATCAGGGAAATGCAAATCAAAACCACAGTGTGATACCATCTTACTCCTGCAAGAATAACCATAATAAAAAAAAAATAGATGTTGGCATGGATATGGTGTAAAGGGAACACTTTTACACTGCTGGTAGGAATGTAAACTAGTACAACCAGTGTGGAAAACAGTGTGGAGATTTCTTAAAGAACTAAAAGATAGTAGCTTTTTTAGACTTTTCAATGCATAATTAATTTAAAAACAATCAAGCCTACAAATATAGTGGAGATATGTCTTAATTCAGTAACAAAGGGTAAAAATTGAGCCCCAATTAGGACCTTTTCTTTTCTTTTCTTTTTTTTTGAGACAGAGTTTCACTCTTGTTGCCCAGGCTAGAGTGCAATGGCACAATCTTGGCTCACTGCAACCTCCGCCTCCTGGGTTCAAGTGATTCTCCTGCCTCAGCCTCCTGAGGAGCTGGGATTACAGACATGCACCACCACACCTGGCTAAGTTTTTGTATTTTTTTTTTTTTTGTAGAGATGGGTTTCTCCATGTTGGTCAGGCTGGTCTCGAACTCCTGACCTCAGGTGATCCACTCGCCTCAGCCTCCCAAAGTGCTGGGATTACAGGCGTGAGCCACTGCGCCCGGCCAGGACCTTTTCTTTAAACATTCCAAATCAAAGTAAGGAGTCAAGTCGAAATTGAAGAGGTTTAGTGGGATTAGGGGTGATCCTATTTCAACAGATGAATGCTGGAACACAGTTTTCTTTTTCTTTATTTTAGAGACAGTCTGGCTTTGTCGCCCAGGCCGGAGTGCAGTGGTGCGATCTCGTCTCACTGCAAGCTCCGCCTCCTGGGTTCAAGTGATTCTTGTGCCTCAGCCTCCCAAGTAGCTGGGATTACAAGTGTGAGGCACCACTCCCAGCTAATTTTTGTATTTTTAGTAGAGATGGGGTTTCGCCATGTTGGCCTGGCTGGTCTCGAACTCCTGGCCTCAAGTAATCTGCCCCTCATGGCTTCTCGAAGTGCTGGGATTACAGGCATGAGCCACCATGCTTTGCCTCTGTTTCCTTTTAGTGGGAACTCTCAGAAGTCATTTCCTCTCTGAAGTTTTCTGTAAGCCTCCCAGACCCCTCTGCCAACTCTTTGGTCCCATTTCTGCTGTTATCATCGCTCATCACAGTCTAATGTAACTATTGTTTACTTGTCTGTGTTTCTCCATTTGATTGTGTGCACCTTGAAAGCAGAGGCTATTTCATTTAATTTTGTATCCCTGGTTCCTACTCCGCACAGGCTCTGATTCATGGAAAATATTTAATATTTTTGTTGAATGAAAGAATGACATTTATCATGTAAAGCTAATAATTTGTTTCACGGGTGTATGTCTTTCTTTCCTACTGTTCTGTGTTTCTTGAAGACAGAAACACTCTTTCCCCACTAGAGCTTAGTACACTTTAAACCTAGAATAGATAATAAATATTTGTTGGATTAAACTCAGTTGAGTTTAACTGAATTATGCAGTACTCATTGATCAAAAATAGAAAGCTCTATTTTCTTTGTAGGGCCACACATATTTTGCTTATGAAGATTCTTGGCAAAGGATGTGTAAATACTCACAAAACACCACAATTTGGGACATTTAGAAGACTTTCTCTCTTCAAAACAAGGAAAAGTCACGATCAGGTAGTTAGCTAGAAAAAGGACAGGATTGCAGTGTGGGACATTATTTAGGCCAGCAATAAGTAAAAGTAACCTCAAACATTTAATCTACAATAAAAAATAACTTAATGAAGTAGCTCTCTCACGTACCTTATAACCCCACTATAAAGGCTGTATTTTCCAGGGAGTGAAAGAAAGAGAATCAATGTTCTTTATTCCTGGGCATTATTCGTGTGACATTCTGTAAAGTGATGACTCAGGCTATGGCTGTTTTAGCAAACATTCTGACTCTTAATGACAAGAGCAAATGCCACGTGACTCATCCCATGAGTCTGGTTATAGCCTGCTTTCTGAAATTCTTGAGAAGCAGTTGATGAAATAATACTGATGATGCAACTCTGTCTCTGCTGTCATTTGCTTTTTCAAGGTGTTGAAGAGAGGAAAACAACTGCTCCTTGTTCAGACTTAGCCTGGAAACTGGTGACTAAAGGGGTGTAGTGAAACTTTTGGGGTATAATTTTTTGTTGTTGTTGTCTATTTTTTTTTTTTTTTTTGGAAACGGAGTTTTGCTCTGTCACCTAGGCTGGAGTGCAGTGGTGCGACCTCGGCTCACTGCAGCCTCCACCTCCTGGGTTTCAGCGATTCTCTTTCCTCAGCTTCCTGGGTAGCTGGGATTACAGGCATACATCACCACGCCTGGCTAATTTTTGTATTTTTAGTAGAGATGGAGTTTCATCATGTTGGCCAGGCTGGTCTTAAACTCCTGACTTCAGTTGATCTGTCCGCCTCAGCCTCCCAAAGTGCAAGGATTACAGGCGTGAGTCACTGCGCCTGGCCTCTTGGGGTATAATTTTGAGCACCATTTTGTTTCGTTTTCTGTAATCTGATTCCAAGATTTTTTCTAAAAGTTGATAACTGGGGTCTTGGGTTAAATCTAGCAATTCTCCAGGCACGCTGCACACCAGAAGAGTTAGGCAAGCCATGTTGAAAGCATTGTACCAATATGCCCAGCACAGGGCCTGCTGCAGAAGCCCTGGTTCATTAGTGTTTGTCATTCAAGGACTCTACCACTTCATCATCTTGCTTCTCATTCTCTTTTCTTTTTTTTTTTTTTTGAGCCGGAGTCTCACTCTGTCGCCCAGGTTGGCGTGTAGTGGCGCGATCTCGGCTCACTACAATCTCTGCCTCCTGGGTTCATGCCATTCTCCTGCCTTAGCCTCCTGAGTAGCTGGGACTACAGGCGCCCGCCACCACGCCCGGCTAATTTTTTTGTATTTTTTCTTTTAGTAGAGACGGGGTTTCACCGTGTTAGCCAGGATGGTCTCGATCTCTTGACCTCGTGATCCACCCTCCTTGGCCTCCCAAAGTGCTGAGATTACAGGCTTGAGCCACTGCGTCCGCCCTCATTTTCTTTGAATAAGAATATGGCGGGGCGCGGGGGCTCACGCCTGTAATCCCAGCACTTTGGGAGGCTGAGGCAGGCGGATCACCTGAGGTTGGGAGTTCCAGACCAGCCTGACCAACATGGAGAAACCCCGTCTCTACTAAAAATACAAAGTTAACTGGGTGTGGTGGTGCATGCCTGTAATCCCAGCTACTCAGGAGGCTGAGGCAGGATAATCGCTTGAACCTGGGAGGCGGAGGTTGTGGTGAGCCGAGATCTTGCCATTGTACTCCAGCCTGGGCAACAAGAGCAAAATTCCGTCTCAAAAAAAAAAAAAAAAAAAAGGAATAAAACCCCCAGAGAGTAAGCTGTTCTTTGAACAGGGCTAACATGCTGACATGACAGTCAGCTTGAAGTCCACCAAGATCATGTACAAATTTGCAGCAGGGAACACCCCCATGGTGTCTGGTAAGCCACACTGAGTGCACGCCAGGTAGAACCCTACCAAGAGTGTACTTAGAGAATTGAGATGTAAATGTTGATATCAGAAAACTATTAGGAAGAAAGAAACACCTGGGAAGGTAGTCTGCAACTTATCCCAGGGAGCCTGCCAATCAGGCTTCAAGAAGACATTATAGGCCGGGTGCGGTGGCTCATGCCTGTAATCCCAGCACTTTGGGAGGCTGAGGCAGGTAGGATCACTTAGGGCCAGGAGTTTGAGACCAGCCTGGCCAACATGGAGAAACCTCATCTCGACTAAAATACAAAATGTAGCCAGGAGGTGTGGTGGTGCACGCCTGTAATCCCAGCTACTCGGGAGACCGAGGCACGAGAATTTCTTGAACCCAGGAGGCGGAGGTTGCAGTGAGCCAAGATCTCACCACTGTACTTCCAGCCTGGGTGACAGAAGGAGACTCTGTCTCAAAAAAAGAAAGAAAGAAAGAAAAAGAAGAAGACATTACATTTTAGAGCTAATAGTCATCCTGTGATAGCCCCCAGCCTGCTGCAGGGGTAAAAGTCTTGGAACTTCAGCCCATGGTACATGCCCTTTTATATAATAAACAATTTATTTTAGGATACCTTTAGCTTAAAAAAATTGTGGAGGTAGTCCAGAGAGTCTACATAGGCCCTACACCCAGTTTCCCCTATTATTAACATCTTTAAGAAGGATTAGTATTCATTCTTTTTTGTTTATTTATTTTTTATTTTTTTATTACTTTATATTTTTATTTTTTTTATATTTTTATTTTATATTTTATATTTTATATTTTATTTTATATTTTATATTTTTATTACTTTAAGTTCTGAGATACATGTGCAGAATGTGAAGGTTTGTTACATAGGTATACAGGTGCCATGGAGGTTTGCTGCACCCATCAACCCGTCATCTACATTAGGTATTTCTCCTAATGCTATCCCTCCCCTAGCCCCCCACCCCCAACAGGCCCTGGTGTGTGATGTTCCCCTCCCTGTGTCCATGTGTTCTCATTGTTCAACTCCCACTTATAAGTGAGAACATGCGGTGTTTGGTTTTCTGTTCCTGTGTTAGTTTGCTGAGAATGATGGTTTCCAGCTTCATCTATGTCCCTGCAAAGGACATGAACTCATCATTTTTTATGGCTGCATAGTATTCCATGGTGTATATGTAAGAAAATGTGTCACATATACACCATTCTTCTTTGAATGTTTGATATAATTCACTGTGAAGCCATCTGGTCCTAGGCTTTTCTTTGTTGGAAGATTTTTTTATTACTGATTCAATCTCCTTATTTGTTATTTGTTTGTTCAGCCTATTTATTCTTGGTTCGGTTTTTGTAGGTGGTATATTACTAAGAATTTATTGATTTCTTCTAGGTTATCCAATTTGTTGGCATATAATTGTTCATAATAGTCTTTTATAATCCTTTTTGTTTCTGAGGCACCCTTTGTGATGTCTCCTCTTTCATTTCTGGGTTTATCTGAGTCTCTCTCTCTCTCCCCTCTCTTTTTCTTTGTTAGTCTAACTAAGGGTTTGTCAATTTTATCTTTTCAAAAACCCGACTCTTAGTTGTGTTGATTTTTTCTATTGTTTTTCTACTCTATTCATTTCTGCTCTAATCTTTATTGTTTCATTCTGCTAACTTTAGGCTTAGTGTTGCTCTTTTTTTAGTTCCTCAAAGTTTAAAGTTAGGTGAGTTATTCAAGATTTTCTTCATTAACATAGATATTAATCACTATTAACCACCCTGTAAGTTCTGCTATTGCTGCATCTCATAAGTTTTGGTATGTTGTGTTTTCATTTTCATTTGTCTTGAGATATTTTAAAAATTAACTTTGATTTCCTCTTTGACCCAACGGTTGTTCATGAGTGTATTGTTAATTTCCACATATTTGTGAATGTTCCCATTTTCTTTCTGTTGCTGATTTCTAGTTTCATTCCATTGTGGTCCAAAAAATGCCTGGAATGATTTCAATCTTCTTAAATTTGCTAAGTCTTGTTTTGTAACTAATATGTGATCTATCATGGAGAATGCGTTGTGTATACCTGAGAAGAATGTTTATTCTGCTGTTGGATAGTTCTGTATATATGTCTGTTAGGTCCATTTGGTCTAATGTGTTGTTCAAGTTAGTTTTCTTTTCAAGTTTCTTTATTGATTTTCAATCTGGATGTTCTGTTATTGAAAGAAGGATATTAAAGTTCTACTATTATTGTATTGCTGTTAATTTCTCCTTTTGGGTCTGTCAATATGTGCATATATATTTAGGTACTCTGATGTAGAGTGTGTACAGTATTTATAATTATTACATGTTTCTGTTAACTGTGCTTTTGTCATCATATAATGACCTCATCTATCTCTAGAAACAGTTTTATCTATCTATCTATCATCTATCTATCTATCTATCTGTCTATATCAGTCTATTTTGTCTGATATAAGTATAACCAACCCTCTTCTCTTTTGGTTACCATTTGCATGGAATATATTTTTTCATTCCTTCACTTTCAGCCCATGTGTGTCCTTAAATCTAAAGTGAGTCTCTTGCAGTCCTTTTACATTTAAAGTAAATTGGTAAGTGAGGACTTACTATTGCCATCTTGTTGTTTCTGTTTGCTTGTTTTGCAGTTATTTTGTTCTCTTCCTTACTTTCTATCTTCTTTTGTTATTTGGTGATTTTTTCTTTGTTTTGGCAGTGATTTACTTGGATTCTTTTCTTTTTATCTTTTGTGCACCTATTATTTTTTTTCTTTGTGTTTACCTCAAAGCTGGAATCGAATATCTTGTAGCTATATCTGCATATTTTATGTTTGTAACAATTTAACTTTAATTACATACAAAAACTATACACTTTTGCCCCTGCCACATACATACATATTTTTGTTCTTGTAGCCAGAGTTTATTTCTTTTTATATTGTGTATCCATTAACAGGTATTTGTGGTTATAGTTGTGCCTTTTTTTTTTTTTGATACAGAATCTTGTTCTGTCACCCAGGCTGGAGTGCAGTGACATGATCGTGGCTCACTGCAACCTTTGCCTCCCAGGTTCAAGTGATTCTTGTGCCCCAGCCACTTGAGTAGCTGGGATTACAGACGTGTGCCACCATACCCAGATAATTTTTGTAGTTATAGTAGAGATGGGGTTTCACCAAGTTGGCCAGGCTTGTCTTGAACTCCTGGCCTCAACTGATCTACCCACCTCAGCCTCCCAAAATGCTGGGATTTTAAGCATGAGCTGCCATACCTGCCCCGGTTATATTTATTCTAAATATTTTTTGTCTTTTAACTTTGATATTAGGGTTAAAAGTAATTTATGCAATGCCATTACATTGATACATTATTCTGTATTTGTCTATATATTTACCTGAAGTCAATGCCTGGCTTCAAACAACAGGCTGACTCTCTTGTTAGGGGCTAATGCAGCTCATGACTTTAAAGGGAAGCCAATGCTCATTTACCATTCTGAAAATCCTAGGGCCCTTAAGAGTTATGCTAAATCCACTCTCTGCCTGTGCTCTATAAATGGAACAATAAATCCTGGATGACAGTATATCTGTTTAGAGCATGGTTTACTGAATATATAGACAGTGAGATATGTGCTTTCATATGCTCTCATGTTGCTGTTTATCATGTTTTCATTTCAATTTAAATAACTCCCTTAAGCATTTCTTACAAGACAGATCTAGTGGTGACAAACTGTCTCAATTTTTGTTTGTCTGAAAAAAAGTTTATCTTTCTTTCTTTTTTAAGGATAGTTTTGCTAGGTATAATATTCTTGGTTGACAATTTTTTTTCTTTCTCAGTACTTTAAATATAACATCTCACTCTTTCCTGGCCTGCAAGGTTTCTGCTGAGAAATCCTCAGCATGTGATTCTCCTGCCTCAGCCTCCTGAGTAGCTGGGACTACAGGTGTGCACCACCATGCCCCACTAATTTTTGTATTTTAGTAGAGACGGGGGTTTGCCATGTTGGCCAGGCTTGTCTTGAACTTCTGACCTCAGATGATCTGCCCTCCTCAGACTCCCAAAGTGGAAGGTTACAGGCATGAGCCACGGCAATGTTGTGTATGTTCCAATCACTCTACCAACCAGCCACTCGCTCATCTCTCTTTCTTCCCTTGAGACATCTCTCTTCCTATTCCCTGAGACACAGCAGTATAGAAATTAGGTCAGTTAATAACCTTACAATGGACTCTACATGTTCAAGTGAAAGAAAAGTTGCATGTCTCTTAATTTAAATCAAAACCTAGTAGTGATTAAGCCTAGTGAGGAAAGCATGTTAAAAGTCAAGACAGGCCAAAAGCTAGGCCTGTGGTGCCAAACAGCCAAGCTGTGAATGCAAAGGAAAAGCTTTTTTTTTTTTTTTTTTTTTTTAAGATGGAGTCTTGCTCTGTCACCCAGGCTGGAGTGCAGTGGCACAATCTTGGCTCACTGCAACCTCTGCCTCCTGTGGTCAGGCAATTCTCCTGCCTCATCCTCCTGAGTAGCTGGGGTTACAGACATGTACCACCATGCCCAGCTAATTTTGTATTTTTAGTAGAAATGGTGTTCACCATGTTGGTCAGGCTGGTCTCAAACTCCTGACCTCAGGTGATCTGCCTGCCTTGGCCTCCCAAAGTGCTGGGATTACAGGCATGAGTCACCATGCCTTGTCCAGAAAAGTTCTTGAGGGAAATTAAAAGTAATACTCCAGTGAACACACAAATGATATTTTAAAAAAAGTGAAACAAACTTTCTGCTGATATGAAGAAAGTTTTAGTGGTCTGGATGGAAGATCAAACCAGGCACAATATTCCCTTAGGCCAAGCCATAACCTAGAGCCATGACTTAACACTCCTCAATTCTGTGAAGGCAGCGAGAGGTGAGGAAGCTGCAGAAGAAAAGTCGGAAGCTAGCAGAAGATGGCTCATGAGGTTTAAGGAAATAGGTCATCTTTATAACATAAATGTGCAAGGTGAAGCAGTAAAAGATGATTTAGAAGCTGTAGCAAGTTATCCAGAATATCTAGTTAAGATCACTGATGAAGGTAGCTACAGTAAACAACATATTTTCAGTGTAAATGAAACAGTCTTCTATCAGATGATGTAATCTAGGACTTTCATAGCTAGAGAGATGTCAATGCCTGGCTTCAAAGCTTCAAAGAACAGGCTGACTCTCTCATTAGGGGCTAATGCAGCTTATGACTTTAAGGTGAAGCCAGTGTTCATTTACCATTCTGAAAATTCCAGGACCCTTAAGAGTTATGCTAACTCTACACTGCCTGTGCTCTAAAAATGGAACAACAAAACTGGATGATAGTACATCTGTTTACAGCATGGTTTACTGAATATTTTAATCCTACTGTTGAGACCTACTTATCACAATAAAATATTTCTTTCAAAATATTACTGCTCATTGACAATGTGCTTAGTCACCCAAGATCTCTCTCTGATGGAGATAGATAAGAAAACTAAAATTGGTTTTTTTTTTTTTTTTTTAGATGGAGTTTTGCTCTTGTTGCCCAGGCTGGAGTGCAATGGTGCAATCTCGGCTCACTGCAACCTCTGCCTCCTGGGTTCAAGTGATTCTCCTGCCTCAGCATCCTGAATAGCTGGGATTACAGTCATGCACCACCATGCCTCACTCATTTCATATTTTTACTAGAGATGGGGTTTCTCCATGTTGATCAGGCTGGTCTCGAACTCCCGACCTCAGGTGATCCACCCACGTTGGCCTCCCAAACTTCTGGGATTACAGGCATGAGCCACTATGCCCAGCCTTAAAGTTGATTTTTGCCTGCTAACACAACATCTATTTTGCAGCCCGTGGATCAAGGAGATGATCATTAGCCTTTTTTTTAGCAATGAGGTATTTTTAAATTAGGATATGTACATTGTTTTTTGGAAATAATGCTGTTGCACACTTTATAGACTACAGTATAATATCAACATATTTTATATGCACTGGGAAGCCAACAAATTTGTGTGACTCACTTTACTGCATATTTACTTTATTGCAGTGGTCTGAAACCCAAACCACAATATCTTTAAGATATGACCCTATTGGTGTCTGTGCATTTGAAGAAACAGTCACCTCTTTCAAACTTTACAGACTGTCTTTGGTAGGGAAAGACCTTTATCTGTGGCTGGCATGAGGAAGTAGCTTGATGGGCTCTGGGTGACTCTGGCAGCTGGGGTTACTCTTGGCAAAGACTGCAGGGCCTTAGCACAATGACTGCTGGGGTCCTCGATGGTGAAGCCTGCCAAGTCCTTTTGCTCTCTTTTTTTCCCAACTGGGGGACTCACAGCAGAAGAAATTCTTCTTCACTGGGCTCTGCTTGTCTGGGGAATGAGGTGAATGCAGGCAAAACGCTTCCTACCGTATTCTATGTGGGTGTTCTCAGTTCTTTTAGATTGCTGCATCTTCTTAATTGTACTCCAGAGCTTTCCTGGGGCTATATTTGTCTATGGAGCTTATGAAATTTTTTTTTTTTTTTTTTTTTTTTTTTTTTTTTTGTGGCAGGACAAGGGCTATGACCTCCTAGATTACTACACTGCTAATGTCACTTAGAACATGCACCTTTGATCAAGTTTAATCTTTAGCAGGTAGGACTGAAACCCAAAGCCACAAAAAGCAACTGAGCTGGGAGATATCTATTACAGCCATTGCCTCTAAATCTGACTATGAGAAAAGCATTTCAAATATCACATGACTTAACTTATTGGAATTTGTGGTAAAGAAATAAGAATGAGCACAAATATTTAGCAACAAAATCAATTGCAGTATTGTTAGTAATTATAAAAAGATATAAACATGTAACTGTCTAACAATGGCAGATTGTTAAAAATAAGTAAATATCCATATAGTGGAATAATATGGAGCCATTTAAAGTGATGCAGAAATATATCTTTTGTCTTGAAATATGTTTATGATAATTAGGTGAAAAAAGCAAATCACAGAAATGTTTTTTGTTTGTTTGTTTTTGAGACGGAGTCTCGCTCTGTCACCCAGGCTCACTGCAACCTCCACCTCCCGAATTCAAATGATTCTCTTGGCTCAGCCTCCCAAGTAGCAGGGAATACAGGCATGCACCACCACATCCAGCTAATTTTTGTATTTTTAGTTGAGATGGGGTTTCACCATGTTGGCTGGCTGGTTTCGAACTCCTGACCTCAAGTGATCTGCCTGCCTCAGCCTCCCAAATTGCTGAGATTACAGGTATGAGCCACTGCTCCCAGCCAACATGTGTGTTTTGATCTAACTTTTGTTTTAAAAAAGTAGAAAACAACTTAATATATGAAAGTGCTAATGGTGACAAGACAGATGGGATTACAGTTTAAAAGTAGCGTTTTTTTCCTGTTTGTCTACATTTTCTGATCTTTCTGAAATGAGCATGTATTGCTTTGTTATAAAAAAATAATAAATTTTGAAAATGAAAGTATAGAGCTTGGACCTATTATGTATTATGGAAATAAATGAATGAACTGCATAGCAATTTCTGCTATCATGACATGGGATAAAAATGTTTTAAAAGCATATTTCCCATTGCATTGTGATTTATCTTTTTACCTATCTGCCTCCCTTTAGCTGAAGATCCTCTAGGTCAAAGACTATTATTATTCATCTTTGCTTCCCTAGCATGTAGTTCACAAATTCAGCTGGTGATGAGTAAATGTTGAGTAATTGAGTAAGCAGCACATAAAAGTGTGTCAGAAGACTTAGATATTAGTCAGGGTATGTGTTGACAATCACATCGTCCATCTGATGTGTTGACAATCCCACCATAAAATACATCATGGTAAAAATCCAGTCCACCAGAGGAAGTCCTCGAGATGCAGCTAAGATGAAAGGTCAGGGGCCAAGGGCTGAGGGTAAATAATACATAGAAATCACAGATTTGTGTGTTGTGGGTGCTATATCAAAGACACCATCAAGTTTGGGGATCTTAGTAAGGATTGTAGGAAAACTGTAAATGAAACAGAAATAATAGTATTTTCAAGAGGGGTAAGGAAATGAATGGATACTTGGATGCATTTTTTTTTTCTGGAGATCAATTGAAGCACACTCATCAAAGCCTTAAAAATACGCATGATTTTTGACCTAGCAATTTTATTTCTGAGAATTTATCCTATGGAAATATTATGGACATGCACTAGAAATTAGCTCTAAAGATGTTCATCACAGTGCTATCTGTAATAACAAAAACAAACAAACAAACAAAAAACAACCAAACAAAAACAGAAATAATGCCAATATTCAACAGCAGAAAATTGGCAAGGTAAAGTATGAAATACTCATTTAACAGAATACTTTGTGATAACTAAAAAGACACTGTAGAAATATATTTCTAGATGTGGAAGATGTCCATAATATATTGTCAAATTTTAAAAAGATGTGTTACAGAACACTATTGCAAAAATAAAAATACATAGATGGGTGAAATATGATATGTTAGTAGTGGTTTTCCCTTGAGGAAAGGGATTGTGGATTTTTTTTTCTTGAAAAAGTTTATTTTGCTTCCCTGTCCTTTCTGAGTTCTTTGTAGTGAAACTATGTTGTTCTTATATAAGAAAAAGAAGAAAAGGAAGACTTTACCAAAAACATATAAATATGAAAGCATAATACTAATGGGATCACAGGAGAAAGGCCTTATTTTTTGCAGCCAGCTCTTATATAGTACCTACTATGCACCATGCATATTTATTTACATTTATTAACTTGTTTTTCTCATCACAACCCTATGATCTTTTCCACTGATGAGGCAACCAAAGCACAGTGATGGTCAGTAACTTGATAAGGTCATAGAGCTAGTAGAGCCAGGATTTGGAGCCCAAGAATCTAGCTAGTTCTAGACTCTGTGCTCTTAACAACCACTGTACTATGAGGAAAGAAATCTAGGTATGTGCCTTCTGTCATCACATCTCCATGATGTCCATTTTTCATGCCTGCTTGATTCCGGATAGGCTGAAAAGGAGTAGTGGGCCAGTTTTGATGGCACATATTAGATGCAATCTGCTATGCCCTTCAGGAGCTGGCTTTGAGGCTGATCCTAGACATAATGCAGTGGGTGAAATGTATTTTAGTGTTTCCTGCCCTGCCTACTTGCTAAATGTAATGCCTTCACCTGCTTATTGAAACTAATAAGGTTCACTGATGGTGTCTGGAATTTTCCTGGCATATTTTTACTATGTTGAAGCCTAGTTATCTTATTCTCTTAACACTTGGCTTTGTACTAGGCAAATACTAGCAAATCTTCAGAAATAAATTAATGCTAAAATGATAATGGGCACCAGTGTGTTGCTACATCATCCTTCCAGGAAACATGTATATGTAAATAGATGCCTTCTAAAAGTTATTTTTAATGCCAAAGAATTCATTTTCATGGTAGATATTTTGGACGTTGCAGGGAGAATATTTTAGGCATTAAAGCTTAGCTGGCTTCACTAATAGCTGTTTCCAGTTTTCTTATCTCTTGCCAACTTCCCTATAAAGGCTGAGAAAACTAAATATTCACTTTCCCAGCCTCCTTGCAGCTAGGGGTGGCACAGTTCTAGACCATGAGATGTGGGCAGTGGTCTGTTGGTGGTTTGTGGAGAAAGCTTTTGCTTTTCTGATAAAAGCAAAATGTTGACACTTGTACCTTGCAATGCCTCCTCCTACCTGCCTCTGGTGCCTTAATCTTTATACTTGGTGATGTCTTGGTCATTTGTGATTGGGAGGAAGAGAACAGAAGAACTGCAGAGATGCTGGACCTGAAATTATGGGGTCACTGAATCAACGCCAGCAGTTGCCTATATCACTTTTTTAATAGGTAGAAAAATAATCCCTATGTGTTAAACCACAGTTAGCCAGATTGTCTTTCACTTTCAGCCAAAGCATTCCTAATTGATGTGCACATTTTCATTTTGCATTTTGCATTTCAAAATGAACTATGTGCGCATAGTTCATTTTCCTGGCTCTAGTTTTACCCAGAACATTGAAGTACGGTTCCAACACTACAGGAAGGCAAACAAAATCAAAGACCCACCCAATTGTGGGTACCTGTTCATAGCATTTCTGAGCATGTTATACGTCCTTTACTTAATTTCTGGTGACTTTAAAAAGAAAGACAATAAGACTAAAAAATGGAGACCATTGTCTAAGATTCATCATAGGTTAAGAAATGCAATATATAGCATTAAAAATGCTATATTAGTCTGGGTGCGGTGGCTCACGCCTGTAATCCCAACACTTTGGGAGGCCGAGGCGGTGGATCACGAGGTCAGGAGATCGAGACCATCCTGGTTAACATGGTGAAACCCTGTTTCTACTAAAAATACAAAAAATTAGCCGGGCGTGGTGGCGGGCGCCTGTAGTCCCAGCTACTCGGGAGGCTGAGGCAGGAGAATGGCGTGAACCCAGGAGGCAGAGGTTGCAGTGAGCCGAGATAGCGCCACCGCAGTCCGGCCTGGGTGAAAGAGCGAGACTCCGTCTAAAAAAAAAAAAAAATTGCTGTATTATTTTACTGACTTGACAAAAACATTTGATGACAACCATTTATTCAGACTTTTGGTTACTATTTTTCAGTTGATAAATCCATCAGATTCTTACTAGTACATAATGCAGGAGCTAGTTGGTCGGGTTTATTTTCTTTCCTTTCTATTCACTTTCTTTTTAATTTTTCCTCTTTTAGTTCCTTCCTTCCCTCCCTTCTTCCTCCCTCCTTGCTTGCTTCCTTCCTTCCCTTCTCTCCTTCCTTTTCCTTCTTTCCTTTCTACCTTCTCTTCTCCCTTTTCTTTTTTATACTATAATCTCTTACAGTAAAAAATGTATAGTGTAATAATAACGCAGCAAGCATCTCAGTCAAGATCCATGTGCTGGGCATCTTTTATTTGTCCCCTAGATCTAGCCACCATCTGACATTGATCTGGGAGACTGACCTGTGTGGATCTGTGAGCAATTTTCCCCTCTGACTTCCTCTTGGGCCTGGCTGATGGGGAGACACAGCAGGAGATTGTAGGGAGGAAAAGAGAGTGGTGTTAAGGCTTATATTCCCTTGGCTCCTAATGTGATATTACCTCTGGCTGACTGGGTTTCTCCACTAAAGGTCACTGCTCCTCTTAACATGGCAGAATCTACTTAATTTTCTCTCCTTCTAGGAATCACATCTTTTCCTTGTCCCTTCAGGTCTAGGGATGGTCACATTAATGGTTGGCTACCATTAGCCTTAGGTTGCAAAACCATCTCTTGTGTCTCCCCTATACCTGTACCTTTGTGATTAGCTGTCTCATAAATGAATCCTCCTTAAATGACTCTATTTTTCTTTTGTTTCTTTTTTCTTCTCTGAAACCTTTTAAAGACCACTACTCTATTTTGAGTGAGCCCTCTGTTTCCCTTTGGAAACTTGATCGATACAAACTAGATGCTGCATTGTCCAAAACAGCAGCCATTGGGCTATTTATATTTAAATTTTAAATAACTAAAATGAAATAATATTAATTTTTTTTTCTTGAGACGGAGTCTTGCTCTGTCGCCCAGGCTGGAGTGCAATGGTACGATCTCAGCTTACTGCAGCCTCTGCCTCCTGGGTTCAAGCGATTCTCCTGCCTCAGCCTCCCAAGTAGCTGGGATTACAGGTGCCTGCCACCATGCCCAGCTAATTTTTGTATTTTTAGTAGAGATGGGGTTTCACCATGTTGGCCAGGCTGATCTTGAACTCCTGACCTCAGGTGATCCACCCACCTCAGCCTCCCAAAGTGCTGGGATTACAGGCCTGAGCCACCACGCCTGGCCGAAATAATATTAAAATTTATCTCCTCAGTCACACTAGCCACATTTCCAGTTCTCAGTAGCCACATATGACAAGAAGCTGTAGTGTTGGACATCTCAGATCTAGAGCAGTTTCTTCATTACAGGAAGTCCTGCTGAATAGCACCAATGGAAATTGACAGTCCCCAGACCTCCCTTTGTATGACTTTTTATGTGATTTCTCCATCCTGCTACTTCTTCCTGTCTGCATCACTTTTTTTTCTCTCTTACATTTATAGTAATCACATCCTTGCTTTTCTTTATAATTTTTCCACCTTTGTAAGCATCCTAAACAATGCATTTTAAGTTTGCCCATTTTCAATTTTAGTATGTAATTTTGCAGTGTTTTTGTTGTCTTGTTTCTTGACTGTTTTTAACATCCACTCATGTGGTATGTAGCTGTTGTTTATTTGCATTGCTATATAGCATTCCATTGCATGAAAATATCACACAAAAGTTGCATTCTCCTGTTGCTGGATGTTTGGATTATTTCCAGTTTTCAGTTATTACAAACCATGTACATGTCTCTATGTATATTCTTGTATACACAGACATACCTACATTCCTATATGTTATGTATCTGGAGTGAAATTAAATTGCTAGGTCACAGGATATGCATTGCTTCCCCATTAAAAAATAATGCCATCTTTTTCCAAAGTGTTTGAACCCATTTACACTCCTATCAACAGTACATGAGGATACCCATTTTTTTTTTTTTTGGAGACGGAGTCTCGCTCTGTCGCCCAGGCTGGAGTGCAGTGGTGTGATCTAGGCTCACTGCAAGCTCCGCCTCCCTGGTTCATGCCATCATGCCATTCTCCTGCTTCAGCCTCCTGAGTAGCTGGGACTACAGGCGCCCACCACCACGCCCGGCTAATTTTTGTATTTTTAGTAGAGACGGGGTTTCACCGTGTTAGCCACGATGGTCTCGATCTCCTGACCTCGTAATCTGCCCGCCTCGGCCTCCCAAAGTACTGGGATTACAGGCGTGAGCCACCGTGCCTGGCCGAGGATACCCATTGTTTTACACCCTCACCA
Source organism: Homo sapiens (assembly GCF_000001405.40). Classification (NCBI taxonomy): domain Eukaryota; kingdom Metazoa; phylum Chordata; class Mammalia; order Primates; family Hominidae; genus Homo; species Homo sapiens. The sequence goes on from NC_000011.10 coordinate 34,385,990, forward strand.
ACACTTGGTATTTCAGATGGTTTACATTTTTTTTAAATTTAATATCCAAATTTATTTTTACCGTTTTTTTTTATTGTGCTTTAAGTTCTAGGGTACATATGCACAACGTGCAGGTTTGTTACATATGTATACATGTGCCATGTTGGTGTGCTGCACCCACTAACTCACCATTTACATTAGGTATATCTCCTAATGCTATCCCTCCCCCCTCCCCCCACCCCACGACAGGCGCCAGTGTGTGATGTTCCCCACCCTGTGGGGAACGTGTGTCCAAGTGTTCTCATTGTTCAATTCCCACCTATGAGTGAGAACATGCGGTGTTTGATTTTCTGTCCTTGTGATAGTTTGCTCAGACTAATGGTTTCCAGCTTCATCCATGTCCCTACAAAGGACATGAACTCATCCTTTTTTATGGCTACATAGTATTCTATGGTGTGTATGTGCCACATTTTTTAAATCCAGTCTATCACTGATGGACATTTGGGTTGGTTCCAAGTCTTTGCTATTGTGAATAGTGCCGCAATAAACATCAGATGGTTTACATTTTAACCATTCTGATGAGTGTGTAGCGGTGTCTCACTGTGATTTTTAAATTGCATTTTCCTTCTTACCAATGAGGTCAGCATCTTTTCAAGTCCAATTTTATTTCTTCTTACATATATAATTGAGTGTCTCAGCATTAGTATTAAAAATACTTGTCATTTTCCTCATACACTGTATTGCCACTCTGTCTAAATCAAGGTCCACATAAGTGTGAGTCTCTTTTTAGTTTCTCTTTTATGTTAGCTCTTGGTTTGTCTATCACTGTATCAATTCTACATTGTTTTAACTACTGTAGCTTTGATATCTATATATCTTGATATCTCTTAGAGCAAATCCTCTGACATTTTTCTACTTATTCAAGATTGTCTTGGATACTTTTGGCCCTTTACATTATCATATATGTTTTAAAACCAGCTTGTCAAGTTTTAAAACAAAACAAAATCCCAAACCCTGTTGAATCTTTCAGTCAATGAATATGGTATGAATTTCCATTTAATCATGTGTCCTTTAATATACTTCAACATAGTTATAAAATTTATAATTACATTTCATAATAATTTTTTAAAAACCTAATTTATAATTAAATTTTATTAAAATTAAAAATTTTTTTTTTTTTGGAAATGGAGTCTCACTCTGTCACCCAGGCTGGAGTGCAGTGGCACAATCTCAGCTCACTGCAACCTTTGCCTCCTAGGTTCAAGCAATTCTCCTGCCTCAGCCTCCCAAGTAGCTAGGACTACAGGTGCCCGCCACCACGCCTGGCTAATTTTTTCCCTGGCTAATTTTTTGTATTTTAGGAGAGACAGGGTTTCACTGTGTTGCCCAGGCTGGTCTCAAACTCCTGAGCTCAGGCAATCTGCCTGCCTCAGCCTCCCAAAGTTCTGGGATTACAGGCGTGAGCCACCGCACCTGGCCAAATTTTTTTTTTAAAGGCACAAGACCCCTGAAGAGGCTTGAACCTTCTAAAAATGATTTATTTCTATGTACTTACCATTACTGATTCTATTGTTTATACTATCACTTTAAAAATTTAATTTTCTAATTGTTTATTTTTAGTATAGAAATGCTGTTGATTTTTGTATATTGTCTTTGTATCCAGCAACCATGCTAAACTTTCTTATTACTCCAATTATGTATCAGTAGATTCTTTTGGATTTCCTGTGTGCATAATTATACAATCTAAAAATGATGTTTGGTTACTTCTTTTCAAATTGTTTTTTTTCTCTCTTTCTTTCTTTGCTTTACTGCACCATCTACAGCCTTCAATATAACCAACAATGTTTAGTAAATGTTGTGATCAGTGTAATCTTTGTCTTGTTTTCAGTCTGGAAGGGAAAGCTTTTAAATGATTCACCACTAAGTCAATTATTTGCTATGGTTTTATTTTTCCAGATACCGCCTATTAGATTAAGAGAGATTCCTTCTTTTTCCTAGTTTGTTATTTAAAAAAAAAATTAATGGATATTAAAATTTGAGTTTTTTTTGCACCTATTGAAATGGTCATATGCACTTTTTCTCTTTAATTACATACTACCTTTAGAAATGTGTTGAATAGTTTGTGGGGCTATTTTCTAACATAAATATTTTTAAAAAATGCATCTGAGTATATCAGTTCCAGTTCTTTTGACTACAAAAATAGTATAAGCCCAAAATGGAACTTATTGTCTTGTTTAACCATAACTTCAGCACAAGTGAATGTAGTCATCAAATTATGTCACCAGGACTATTTCTTTTCATCATTATTTCTCTGTGTTGGCTTTTTCCCTGCTTTTTTTTCATGTGAGGGAAAGTAACTGCCGAAAGCCACAGGGCACCCTACTCAAGCTTTGAGTACAACAGAATGATGTTAGGCTTCTTTCTCTCAGCTTTTTAAGCAAAACTGTCATTGTATCTTATTGGCTCTCACTGGGTCATGTTCTCACCTCTAACGCCATCACCGTGCTAGTGGAATAAAATGAACTGATCGATGATCAAGTTTTACTTACATCTTGACTACTGGAACCTAGGTTGGTGTCAACTCATCCTGGATTTCATGGATTGAGAACGGGGGAGGGTGTAGGTGGCTCCTCAGAGGAAAACTGAAGTTCAGTTAGCAGCACTAAGATAAAAGGATAGCTCCCTACATTAACCCAGATCTTTACTACTACCAGTACTCCCACTATATCTCTTGCAGGCCAATCTTACATTGCCATTGCCGATTTAATTTGGTTAATTTGGTTTATTAATTTAATTTGTTTTATTAAGTGCTAAGCATTGTGCTAAGTGCTTTAGATGAATAACTCCCATAGTTCTCACAAAAACCCTAAGAAGTAGGTACAAATATTACTCACAGTTATAAGTTAAGGCCGAACTGCTATAGTTGAAGGAAAAGAACAGGGACTGGAACCCAAATCTATTTATCACCAAGGTCTGGATTTTTTATATTATCCAACACTGCTTTCCTAAACATCTTTTTTTTTTTGTAGTTTGGAAATGTGCATCTTTTTTTTTTCGTAAGTTATTGAGGTACAGGTGGTATTTGGTTACATGAGAAAGTTCTTTAGTGGTGATTTGTGAGATTTTGGTGCACCCATCACCTGAGCAGTATACACTGCAGCATATTTGTACTCTTTTATCCCTTGCCCCTCTCGCACTGTTCCCCCAAAGTCCCCAAAGTCTATTGTATCATTCTTATGCTTTTGCATCCTTACAGCTTAGCTACCACATATCAGTGAGACCATATGATGTTTGGTTTTCCATTCCTGAGTTACTTCACTTAGAATAATAGTCTCTAGTCTCATTCAGGTCACTGCAAATGCTGCTAATTAATTCCTTTTTATGGCTCAGTAGTATTCCATCATATATGTACATACACCACAGTTTCTTTATCCACTCATTGATTGATGGGAATTTGGGTTGATTCCACCATTTTGCAATTGTGAATTGTGCTGCTATAAACCTGCATGTGCAAGCATCTTTTTTATATAATGACTTCTTTTCCACTGGGTAGACACACAGTAGTGGGATTGCTGGATCAAACCATAGTTCTACTTTTAGTTCTTTAAGGAATCTCCACACTGTTTTCCATAATGGCTGTACTAGTTTACATTCCGACCAGCAGTGTAGAAGTGTTCCCTGATCACTGCAGCCACACCAACATTTACTGTTTTTTGATATTTTGATTATGGCCATTCTTGCAGGAGTAAGGTAGTATCGCATTGTGGTTTTGATTTGCATTTCCCTGATCATTAGTGATGTTGAACATTTTTTCATATGTTTGTTGGCCATTTGTGTATCTTCTTTTGATAATTGTCTATTCATATCCTTAGCCCACTATTTGATGGGATTGTTTTTTTTTCTTACTGATTTGTTTGAGTTCGTTGTAGATTCTGGGTATTAGTCCTTTGTCAGATGTATAGATTGTGAAGATTTTCTCCCACTCCATGGGTTGTCTGTTTACTCTGCTGGCTGTTCCTTTTGCAGTGCAAAAGTTTTTAGTCTAATTAAGTCCCAACTATTTATCTTTGTTTTTATTGCATTTGTTTTTGGGTTCTTGGTCATGAAATCCTTGCCTAAGCCTATGTCTAGAAGGGTTTTTCCAATGTTATCTTCTAGGATGTTTGTAGTTTCAGGTCTTAGGTTTAAGTCCTTAATCCATCTTGAGTTGATTTGTGTATAAGATGAGGGATGAGGATCCAGTTTCATTCTCCTACCTGTGGCTAGCCAATTATCCCAGCACCATTTGTTGAAAAGGGTGTCCTTTCCCCACTTTATGTTTTTGTTTGCTTTGTCAAGATCAGTTGGCTGTAAGTATTTGGATTTATTTCTGGGTTCTCTATTCTGTTCCTATTCTGTATAGGTCTATGTGTCTATTTTTATACCAGTACCACATTGTTCTTCTGACTATGGCCTTATAGTAGAGTTTGAAATCAGGTAGTGTGATGCCTCCAGATTTGTTCTTTTTGCTTAGTCTTGCTTTGGCTATGCTGGCTCCTTTTTGGTTCCATATAAATTTCAGAATTGTTTTTCTAATTCTGTGAAGAATGATGGTGGTATTTTGATGGGGATTGCATTGAATTTGTAGATTGCTTTTGGCAGTGTGGTCATTTTCATAATATTGATTCTACCTATCCATGAGCATGGGATGTGTTTCCATTTGTTTGTGTCATCTGTGATTTCTTTCAGCAGTGTTTTGTAGTTTCTCTTGTAGAGGTCTTTTGACTCCTTGGTTAGGTATATTGCTAAGTATTTTATTTTATTTTTGCAGCTATTGTAAAAGGGTTGAGTTCTGATTTGATTCTCCACTTGGTCACTATTCGTGTATAGAAGAGCTACTGATTTGTGTACATGAGTCTTGTATCCAGAAACTTTGTTGGATTCTTTTATCCATTCTAGGAGCTTTCTGGAGGAGTCTTTAGGGTTTTCAAGGTACATAATCATATCATCAGCAAACAGTGACAGTTTGACTTCCTCTTTACCAATTTGGATTCCTTTTATCTCTTTCTCTTGTCTGATTGCTCTGGCTAGGACTTCCAGTACTGTGTTGAAGAAGAGTGGTGAGAGTGGGCATCCTTGTCTTGTTCCAGTTCTCAGAGGGAATGCTTTCAGCTTCTCAGAGGGAATGCTTTCAACTTTTCCCCATTTGGTATTATGTTGACTGTGGGTTTGTCATAGTTGGCTTTTATTACATTTTTATACATACAAGGTGTGTTCCTTGTATGCTGATTTTGCTGAGAGTTTTAATCATAAAGGGATGCTGGATTTTGTTGAATCCTTTTTCTGCATCCATTGAGATGATCATGTGATTTTTTGTTTTTAATTCTGCTTATGTGGTGTATCACGTTTATTCACTTGTGTATTTTAAACCATTCCTGCATCCCTGGTATGAAACCCACTTGATCATGGTGGATTATCTTTTTGATATGCTGTTGGATTCAGTTAGGTAGTATTTTGTTAAGGATGTCAGCATCTATGTTCATCAAGGATATCGGTCTATCGTTTTGTTTTTTGGTTATGCCCTTTCCTGGTTTTGGTATTAGGGTGACACTGGCTTCATAGAATGAATTAGGGAGGGTTCCTTCTTTCTTTATCTTGTGGAATAGTGTCAAAAAGATTGGTACCAATTCTTCTTTGAATGTCTGGTAGAATTCTGCTGTGAACCCATTTGGTCTTGGACTTTCTTTTGTTGGTAATTTTTAAATTGCCATTTCAATCTTGCTGCTTTTTATTGGTCTGTTCAGGGTATCTAATTCTGCCTGATTTAAGCTAGGAGGGTTGTATTTTTCCAGGAATGTATCCATCTCTTCTAGTTTTCTAGTTTATATGTGTAAAGGTTTCATAGTAGCCTTGAATGATCTTTTATATTTCAGTGGTGTCAGTTGTAATATTGCCTGTTTCATTTCTTAGTGAGGTTATTTGGATTTTCTCTCTTCTTTTCTTGGTTAATCTTGCTAATGGTCTAGCAATCTTATTTATCTTTTCAAAGAACCAGATTTTTGTTTCATTTATCTTTTGTATTTTTTAGTGTGTTTCAATTTCGTTTACTTCTGCTCTGATCTTGGTTATTTCCTTTCTTCTGCTGGGTTTGGGTTTGGTTTGTTCTTGCTTCTCTAGTTCCTTGAGGTGCAACCTTTGATTGTCTGTTTGTGCTCTTCCAGAATTTTTGATGTAGGGGTTTAGGGCTATAAACTTTCTTTTAGCACTACCTTTGCTGTATCCCAGAGGTTTTGGGAGGGTATATCATTATTGTTGTTCAGTTTGAATAATTTTTTAATTTCCATCTTGATTTCGTTTTGGACCCAATGCTCGTTCGGGAGCAGGTTATTTATTTTCCATGTATTTGCATGGTTTTGAAGGTTCCTTTTGGAGTTGATTTCCAGTTGTATTCCACTGTGGTTTGAGAGAGTGCTTACATAATTTCAATTTTCTTAAATTTATTGAGGTTTGTTTTATGGCCTATCATATGGTCTATCTTGGAGGAGGTTCTATGCACTGTTAAATAGAATGTATATTCTGCAGTTGTTGGATGAAATGTTCTGTATATATCTGTTAAGTCCATTTGTTCCAAAGTATAGTTTAAATCCATTGTTTCTTTGTTGGCTTTCTGTCTTGATGACCTGTCTAGTGCTGTCAGTGGTGTATTGAAGTCCCCCACTATTATTGCGTTGCTGTCTATCTCATTTCTTCAGTCTATTAGTAACTGTTTTATAAATTTGGGAGCTCCAGTGTTAGGTGCATATATGTTTAGGACTGTGATATTTTCCTGTTGGACAAGGCCTTTTACCATTACATAATGTCCCTCTTTGTCTCTTTTAACTGCTGTTGATTTAAAGTTTGTTTTGTCTGTTATAAGAGTAGCTACTCCTGCTCACTTTTGGTGTCCATTTGCATGAAATGCCTTTTTCCACCCCTTTACTTTAAGTTTATGTGAGTCCTTACATGTTAGGTGAGTCCTGAAGGCAGCAGATTATTGGTTGGTGAGTTTTTATGCATTCTGCAGTTCTGTATCTTTTAAATGGAGCATTTAGGTTATTTACATTCAATGTTAGTATTAAAATGGGAGGTACTGTTGCATTCATTGTGCTATTTGTTGCCTGTGTACTTTGTGTTTTTTTTGTTTTTGCTTTTAACCTGTATTTTTGTTTTATAGGTCCTGTGTGATTTATGCTTTAAAGAGGTTATGTATTGATGTGTTTCCAGGATTTGTTTCAACATTTAGAGTTCCTTTTTAGTAGTTCTTGTAGTGCTGGTTTGGTAGTGGCAAATTCTCTTGACATGTATGTGTTTGTCTGAAAAAGACTGTATCTTTCCTTCATATGTGATGCTTAGTTTTGCTGGATATAAAATTCTTGGCTGATAATTGTTTTATTTGAGGAGGCTGAAGATAGGGCCCCAATCCCTTCCAGCTTGTAAGGTTTCTGCTGAGAAATCTGCTGTTAATCTGATAGGTTTTTCTTTATAGGTTACTTGGTGCTTCTGTCTCAGAGCTCTTAAGACTATTTCCTTTGTCTTAACTTTGGATAACCTGAAGATAATGTGCCTAGGTTATGATCTTTTTGTGATGAATTTCCCAGGTGTTCTTTTTGCTTCTTGTGTTTGGATGTCTAGGTCTCTAGCAAGGCTGGGGAATTTTCCTTGATTATTCCCCCAAGTATGTTTTCCAAGGTTTTAGAATTCTCTTCTTCCTCAGGAACACCAATTATTCTTAGGTTTGGTCATTTAACGTAATCTCAGACCTCTTAGATGCTTTGTTCGTATTTTCTTATTCTTTTTCCTTTGTGTGTATTGGATTGGGTTAATTCAAAGACCTTGTCTTTGAGCTCTGAATTTCTTTCTTCTACTTGTTCAGTTCTATTGCTGAGACTTTCCAGAGCATTTTGCATTTCTGTAAGTATGTCCAATGTTTCCTGAATTTTTGATTGTCTTTTTCTTTAAGCTATTTATTTCCTTGAATATTTCTCCCTTTACTTCTTGTATCTTTTTTTTAGATTTCCTTGCACTGGGCTTTGCCTTTCTCTGGTGCCTCCCTGATTAGCTTAATAACTAACCTCCTGAATTCTTTTTCAGGTAAATCAGGGATTTCTTCTTGATTTGGATCCAGTTCTGTTGACCTAGTGTGATTTTTGGGGGATGTTAACGAGGCTTGTTTTGTCATATTACCAGGGTTGGTTTTCTGGTTCCTTCTCATTTGCATAGGCTCTGTCAGAGGGAAGGTCTTGAGCTGAATACTCTTGTTCAGATTCTTTTGTCCCATGGGGTGTTCTCTTGATGTAGACTGTCTCCCTTTTCCTATGGACGTGGCTTTCTGTGAGCTAAACTGCAGTGATTATTGTTTCTTTCCCGGTCTAGCCACCCAGAAAGTCTACCCAGCTCTGGGCTGGTACTGGGGGTTGTCTGCAGAGTCCTGTGATGTGAACTGTCTATGGGTCTCTCAGCTGTGGATGCCAGTGCCTGTTCCGGTGGAGGTGGCGGGGTGGTGCAATGGGCTTCATGAGGGTTCTTAGCTTTGGTGGTTTAATGCTCTATTTTGTGCTGGTTGGCTTCCTGCTGGGAGGTGGTACTTTCCAGAGATCATCAGCTGTGGTAGTATGGAGAGGTAGTGGTGGTGGGTGGGGCCCTAGAACTCCCAAGATTATATGCCCTTTGTCTTCTACTACCAGGGTGGGAGGAGAAGGACCATCAGCTGGGGGCAGCGCTAGGCATGTCTAAGCTCAGACTCTCCTTGGGTGGGTCTTGCTATGGCTGCTGTGGCAGATGGGGGTGAGATTCCCAGGTCACTGGAATTGTATACCTAAGAAATATTATGGCTGCCTCTGCTGAGTCATGCAGGTTGTCAGGGTACTTGGGGAAAGCCGGCAGTCACAGGCCTCACCCAGCTCCCATGCAAACCAAAGGGCTGGTCTCACTCCCACTGTGCCCCCACCCCAACCCCAATAGCCCCAAGTCTGTTTCCAGGCAGAGGGCAAGACAGGCTTGAAAACCTGCTTCAGGCTACAGCCTCCCAGCTGTGAAAGGAAAGGGCTTGGTTCTTCCCCCAACTGTGGAATCTGCACACTGGATTTGTGCCCTCCCCCAAGTTCTGGCCAGGAGGCTTTTCGCCCTATTCAAATCGTTTCACAGTTCAGCTAGAGATTTCCTTCTCCCTGTGGAGTTTTACCCCCACAACCCCACTCCTCTGGCTGCTCTGCCGATGGATCCCCATGGTGCCAGGCAGGAATGGCCCTCTCGGGGACCCAGTGAGCTACCAGGGCCTTTCTGCTGCTTCCTCTACCCCTATATTTTGCTCGGCTCTCTAAATTGACTCAGCTCTAGGTAAAGTTGGAAACTTCTCCTGCAAACATACTTTCAGCTTCTCCAGTGGGGGGGTGTGTATTCAGGAGAGGAGGCTCTCCCTTTCCCACTTCCACAGTTGGGGCACCCACAGTATTTGGGGTGTCTCCCATGTCCTGCAGGAGCAGTCCGCTTCCTTCAGAGGGTCTGTGGGTCCTCTTGGGATTGCTGGTTTGTTCTTACAGTTAATTTGGAGCTAAAATTCACAACGTGTGTCTCCGCAAGCTTCTATGTCCGGAGCTGCAATCTAGTCTTGCCTCCCATCTGCCATGATGATCCTATTGCCCGCTAGACACCGAATTCTAAAATACAAGGATATTAAAATTGGTAAATGTGGCCAGGCACAGTGGCTCACGCCTGTAATCCCAGCACTTTGGGAGGCCGAGTTGGGCAGATCACCTGAAGTCAGGAGCTCGAGACCAGCCTGGCCAATGTGGTGAAACCCCATCTCTACTAAAAATAAAAAAATTAGCTAAGCATGGGGTCTCACGCCTGTAGTCCTAGCTACTCAGGAGGTTGAGATACAAGAATCGCTTGAGCCATGAAGGCACAGTTTGCAGTGAGTGAGATCGTGCCACTGGACTCCAGCCTGGGAGACAGAGCCAGACCCTGTCTTAAAAAAAAAAGAAGTTATGCACTGATAATTGGATGATAGTAGAGTTTTGTTCTCCAATAATAGTTCTCTGAGGGGATCATTTCTACCAGACACTGACAATCAGAGAAAAGAGAAGATGGGTCACAGTGAGACATACAGGGATCTGATTTATGGGAGTCCACAAGGCACTAGATGCTGCAAAATCTAGCACTTCAAGTAGCAGCATTGAAATAGTGAAGGCATAAATATTTTACATGGCTCCTGGGGCCTTTTACCCTCACTATGCCACTGTTGCCAACCAAATAATGCACCAACTTCCTTAATGTGAGGTTCTGGAATTAGGCAGCTATTTACAGGGAAGCTAAATTCAGAAATGGCTTCACGCCATTGTTGAAGGCTGAGCAACTGGGCAAGCTGGTACTAATCCTTGTTTTATTTAGGTTTCCTGCTGACTCACATTCTATGTGACACATTGTATATTCTTCTACTTGTATGTGCCTCTGGGGCATGTTCAATTACAAATCATTATTCAGGGATAATGCTTCAAAAGTTCTGCTGGGATTAGATAAAGGAGCTTAAATTTAGGAAATTACATTTACCAATTTTTTCTTTCTTTTTTTTTTTTTCTTTTTGAGACCGAGCCACACTCTATTCCCCAGACTGGAGTGCAGTGGCATGATCTCGGCTCACTGCAACTTCTGCCTCCCAGGTTCAAGTGATTCTCCTGCCTCAGCCTCCCAAGTAGCAGAGATTACAGGTGCCTGCCACCATGCCCAGCTAATCTTTGTATTTTAGTAGAGACGGGGGTTTCTCCATGTTGATCAGGTTGATCTCGAGCTCCTGACGTCAGGTGATCCACCCGCCTCGGCCTCCCAAAGTGCTGATGTTACAGGCTTGAGCCACCAAGCCTGGCTGCATATTCACATTTGCAATCACTCATCAAATCCAATATCTTATTCTATATGTACGAGAAGGGAAGTAATTTACCCAAAGTCACATAGTTTAGGACACATTTGTTCGTTGTCTACCAAGTGATCATTCCCTCTTTCTCCTTTCTAACCATACCCAGGCTTTTGTTTGAGCACATAAGCTATCCATTGAAACCAGTGTGCTTTGGAGGAAGCTGAGCAACACCCAACTCAACTTCCAGGGTGTCCCCTGGAGGGCATATTCAATTCCCCAGGAAACAGTAATTGGTTCAGACTCAAATTAATTAAACAGGGTAAATGTTAGAATTCTCACTTGGAATGCTGACATTCAAACATACTGTCTTTGTAAATGACCTGTGATGGTTTTAAATCCTGGAACAGTTACAGCCATGTTGCATCCATGAGGGAAGCCAGGTGTAGGATCAAACTCACAGGGGAAAGCAGATAAGACAGGCCATGATGATGTCATTGGGCTGTGGAATGAAGCCAACTTTGAGTTAGACCCTCTTTTTGGACCTGCCTGTTAGTTATGTTATTGATAATTTGCCTTTCTTATTTAAGGCAGATAATTTGGATTTTCTGTTATTTGCAACTGAATATGTCCTAACAGATATATTAACGTGTTCAAAGCCAAAAATTAAAAAAACTCAGCTCTCCGTGTTTTCATTTTATCACCAGTAAAATTAATGGATTGGAATATTATACCAGTGGTTTAAAAATCTAGTTTTAGCAGCAAAATGCATTGTTCTAGCAGTCTTACACAGATCATGCAATACATAAAATATATTTTAAAAAATCAATAAGTATGCTCCTCATTAATTTTTATAATTAGTGACAAATATTTCATTGTTTGTAGATCCCATGAAAACCTTTGTTTCTTTGGAGCACAATTTGAAAGCCACTAGTGCAGATAATAAAACATATGTAATACATTATGCATAATAAAAATGAGATATGCATAATATACAGATATAAATATATATGTATGAATGTATATAAAATAGCTAACATTTATTGCTTTTATTATGTACCAGGGATCGTGCTGAGTACTTTTTTATGCATGGTTTTATTTTAAATTCACTTCATGAAGCAGGTACTTACATTTAATAAAGGAATAATAATACTTACCTCATGGGGGCTCTTGGGAAATTAAAACAAGATCCTAGACTTCACGTAACTGAGAAGGGCAAGCATTTTCTTTTGTTGAAATTAAACCTAGGAAGAAGTGCACCTAAAAACCTTGCTTATCCATGGACTTTCTAATTCCAACTCAACTAATTATAACTGATACAGATTCCTTCTGAACTCTAGTTTCAATATTATCCCCAGTAGAAATGAGAATTGGTTTATGTGTCCTCTTTTATTCTGTGATATAAATGTCAGTTCTTTTGGTGATAGAAAGTAATGCCATCAGCAGCTGTACTTAAAGAGACAAAATAATAACATACTCATATATCCCATAGAATGTTTATGCCTAAGGCTTCATAATCACATTAATTTAAAGATGAAGGGCTGGGCACAGTGACTCATGCCTGTAATCCCAACTTTTTGGGAGGCCAAGGCCAGAGGATTGATTGAGGCCAGGAGTTCGAGACCAGCCTGGGCAGCAGATCCAGGCCCCCCTCTACCATCTCTGCAAAAAAAAAAAAAAAAAAAAAAGTAGTAGGCAGGTATGGTGGTGCATGGCTATAGTCTAGCTACTGGGGAGGCTAAGGCAGGAGGATGGCTTGAGCCCAGGAGTTCAAGGCTGCAGTGAACTATGATTGTGCCATTGCATTCCAGGCTGGGCAACAAAATGAGATCTTGTCTAAAAGAAAATTAAAATAAAATAAAGATGAGCCACAGAGAGGTTTAATGGCCTCCTAAGGTCACACAGATTGTTAGGGTTCAGAGCTGAGACTAACATTCAGGGAGTTTGGCTTCTATACCAATGCTCTGTACATTGCATGCTGCCCCTAATTAACCTGGCCAAACTTGGTCTCCATTTGCCACTGAAGTTAGCCAATAAGAAAGAAAATCTGGGCCAGGCGCGGTGGCTCACTCCTGTAATCCCAGCACTTTGGGAGGCCGAGGCCAGTGGATCACGAGGTCAGGAGATCGAGACCATCCTGGCTAACATGGTGAAACACACGGTGTACTAAAAATACAAAAAATTAGCCAGGTGTCGTGGCGGGCACCTGTAGTCTCAGCTACTCAGGAGGATGAGGCAGGAGAATGGCGTGAACCCAGGTGGTGGAGCTTGCAGTGAGCCGAGATCGCGCCACTGCACTCCAGCCTGGGCAACAGAGCAAGACTCCATCTCCAAAAAAAATAAAATAAAATAAAATAAAATGTGATGAGCACTGAAAGCAAGTATGATCTGAATTTGGCTGATCAGGACTTCCTATGGCCTTGTGAAGAAAACCTATGGCACCGTGGTTTTCTGTGTACATGGAGGTGTGACTGTGGTTTCATAATCTCATCTCATCTTAACGCTTTGTGTTGAAAATTCAGGCACAGACCACCGAAATAATATCTGACAATTACCTGGTTTTTACCATTTCTCTATTACCTGGAAAACTAAAACGAGATGTAATACTCTGGATGTTTTAGGTGGCATGTAATTTGCTTGTGTATTCAATAGTCCCTCTCATCCTTTAAAATATAAAATAAATTGTTGCTAATGTAGTTTTTGACTTTGTTTCCATGTTCTTTAATTCGATTTTAAGTTTTCTGGGGATGAGACCATCTTTTTATGGAGTACAGTGTTATCATATTTTGCCTTATCTTATTTTGATATTTTCCAAATATTTAAATGTAACCCAGATGTCAGCTCAAACCACATATTGAACAGCCTTGCCAGAATTTCTGCACATTCCTGGTGAGATTTCGTTCTGTCCAGTTCCAGCTCCCACAGGACCCTTGATCTCACTTGAGGTTTGTCTTCCTTGTACAGACCTGCCCCTAACATTTGTGGGGCCAGGGTCAGGGCAGGAATAAATATAGAGGCTCACATATCCCTTGTCTAAACAGATAATAAACTATTAAATAAAATATGTACCGTTCTCCTGCATTGCCAAATTTGGCTTCATGATAACCTGAAGTTATCATGAAGTTGAAATTTAGAATTCTGAGACTTCTAGTTTTCCTCTGGAATTCGGCAGTATGGGGAGAGCTGAACTCCCACCTCCAACCTCCACCCATAGTCCACCCCGTATTTTTTTCCATGCCCCTTCCTCCATTGTTTTACAACATGAAGGGCCTTACGTGTGTTAGTGGACATTGGGGCATGTCTAGGTTTTACCCATTTGCTTTCAAGCAGCCACTCTTTAGGCAAACCTTAGTCCTAGTGATATGCCTACCAGCACCATAGGCTACAATTAGGAGGATGGACCCAGGGACAAGGCTGGTGTAGCCCTGCACAATTGCCATTCCCCAAGTCCTAGGGCCCTTAAGAATGATGCTAAATCTACTCAGCCTGTGCTCTATAAATGGAACAGTCAAACCAGGATGACAGCACATCTGTTTACAGCATGATTTACTGAATATTTTAGGCCCACTGTTAAGACCTACTGCTCAGAAAAAGGTATTTCTTTCAAAATATTACTGCTCGTTGATAACATACCTAGTCACCCAAGAGCTCTGATGGAGATCCACAAAGATATTGATGTTGTCTTTATGCCTGTTAACACATCTCTTCTGCAGCCCATGGATGAAGAAGTAAATTCAAATTTCAAGTCTTATTATTTAAGAAATACAGTTTGTAAGGCTATAATTGCCAAAGATAGTGATTCCTCTGCTGAATCTGGGCACAGTAAAATCAGAGGACTTCTGGAAATAATTCACAATTTTAGATGCCGTTAAGAACATTCATGATAGGCTGGGCACAGTGGCTCATGCCTGTAATCCCAGCACTTTGGGAGGCCAAGTTGGGAGGATCACCTAAGGTCAGGAGTTCGAGACCACCCTGGCCAACACGGTAGAACCCTGTCTCTACTAAAAACACAAAAATTAGTCAGGTGTGGTGGTGCATGCTTATAGTCCCAGCTACTAGGGAGGCTGAGGCAGGAGGATTGCATGAACCTGGGAGTCGGAGATTGCAGTGAGCCGAGATCATGCCACTGAACTCCAGCCTGGGTGTCAGAGAAAGACCCTATCTCAAAAAAAAAAAAAAAAAGAACATTCATGATTCATGGGAGGTGGTCAAAATATCAACATCAGCCAGGTGTGGTAGTTCTAGCTACCTGGGAGCCAGAAGCAGGAGAGTCTAAGCCACTGTGCCCGACCCATAGTCTATTTTTAAAATTTATTTATTTGTTTGTTTATTTATTTATTTATTTTTGAGACAGAGTCTTGCTCTGTTGCCTAGGCTGGAGTGCAATGGTGTGGTCTCTGCTCACTGCAACCTCTGCCTTCAAGTGATTCTTGTGGCTCAGCCTCCCAAGTAGCTGGGATTACAGACATGTGCCACCACGCCTGGCTAATTTTTGTATTTTTAGCAGAGATGGGGTTTCACCATGTTGGCCAGGCTGGTCTCGAACTCCTGACCTCAGGTGATCTGCCCACCTTGGCCTCCCAAAGTGTTGGGATTACAGACGAGAGCCACCACGCCCGGCCTTTATTTTTAACTTTATTTTTAATTGCATTTCTAAATACGTTATTTTAAATCGCCATTGGTATAAATGACTTCATTGCACACATCAGAACCACTTGATTCTCTCCCTTCAATATGTGTTTAAAAGGCACAGAAAGAACTTATAAAAAAAGCACTGAGGCCGGGCACGGTGGCTCACGCCTGTAATCCAGCACTTTGGGAGGCCGAGGCGGGCGGATCACGAGGTCAGGAGATCGAGACCATCCTGGCTAATACAGTGAAACTCCGTCTCTACTAAAAATACGAAAAAATTAGCCGGGCGTGGTGGCGGGCTCCTGTAGTCCCAGCTACTCGGGAGGCTGAGGCAGGAAAATGGCATGAACCCAGGAGGCGGAGCTTGCAGTGAGCAGAGATCGCGCCACTGCACTCCAGCCTGGGCGACAGAGCGAGACTCCGTCTCAAAAAAAAATAATAATAAAGTAAAGTAAAATAAAAAAAGCACTGATATCTATTTTCTTATGGAATGAATGTCATTGGCCAATATTGTTTCTTGGCCCTATGGGAGAGACTTCTAAGGAGAAAACTTTCGGGGGCATGCTTTATTCTTTATACAATTATTCCTTGCTATCCAGATGAATTCAGTTCCTGTGTATGGATAGTTTGGAGAATGAGTTTAGGTAACCAGGGAATTTGTGTTGTTATAGTTCTAAAATCAAAAGCTCTATGATAGAAAACTAGGACTTTAATAGTTAAAATCTATATACCATTCCTAATCTGTTTGGCAGTTCAAAGTCAAGCTGATTTAACTCCGAAGCAAAGCTCCCTGATTAAGTATCTTTATAGTTTTCAATATTTAAGTTGGGCAATCAGGAAAGGCACAAAGTAACTAGAGCTGAAGAATTGTATAATGTTCTAGGAGGAAGCTATTCTATTTTAAACAAGTCTTCAAGATGGACAGAGATTAAATAGTAATTGAGTAATGATCATTTTATTAAAGTGTTAAAAGCTAGTATTGGAAATAGCCATGCTCTGTACAGGACTCCATTTATTTGTAGAAAATTACTCCCTTCCTGTGACTTAAAATGATTAATAATCATAATAATAAGGGAGGCCAGGCACGGTGGCTCATGCATGTAATCCCAGTACTTTGGGAGGCCGAGGCAGGTGGATCACCTGAGGTCAGGCGTTCGAGACCAACTTGGCCAACATGGCGAAATCCCATCTCTATTAAAAATACAAAAAATTAGCTGGGTGTGGTTGCACCTGTAATCCCAGCCATTCAGGAGACTGAGGTGAGAGAATTGCTTGAACCCAGGAGGCAGAGGTTGCAGTGAGCCCAGATCACACCACTGTACTCCAGCCTGGGTGACAGGGCAAGACTGTCTCAAAAATAAATAAATAAATAAATAAATAATAATGAGGATTTTTAAAGAAGTGCTTTGAAGCTTATAAAATATGTTAATAAATAGTATATAATCTCAGTTGCGATCTTGATCAGTGGTATCCAACAGAACTTTCTGCAATGATGGGAATGTTCTAATATGCTGTCTAATACGGTATCTGCTAGAGACATGGGCTGCATAAAGGAGGGGTGGATACTCAAATAAACATTAGGGTTTTTCTACCTGTAGGTAAACAGGATACTTGGGCAAAAACAGCAAAGTCTAGTGTGACAGACAAGATACTCTAAAACATAATAAAAGCTATTTTTGGTCACTGCCCATTGATTTATAGAATTTAATAATTACATGAGAATGAAGCAAACAAGCCTTAATGAAGTTTATAATTTTATAATTTTTTGTTTTTGAGACAGTCTTACTCTGTTGCCCAGGATGGAGTGCAGTAGCATGACCATGGCTCACTGCAGCCTCAATCTCCTGGGCTCAAGTGATCTTCCTGCCTTAGCTTCCTGAGGAGCTAAGACTAAAGGTATGAGCCACTACACCTAACTTCTTTTTTTGTTTTTTGGTAGAGACGGGGTCTCCCTATATTGCCTAGGTTGGTCTCAAACTCCTGGGCTCAAGTGATTCGCCTGCCTTGGCCTCCCAGAATGCTGGGATTACATGCATGAACCTCTGTGCCCAATCTTTTTAGTCATTTTTTTAAACATTGCTTTCAATTGTCTTTGTGAATTTTTTTGGCCGCTGAGGGCTCATATATTGAGCAATCATGTTATCTAATTTTTGGTGCAATGGTTAACCTGGGTAATAGCTTGAATTCAGCTCCCCTTACGACTTTATGCCCTGTGATTGTCTAGCACTTTTCTTTTTGATAAGTGCTAGATAGCTGGCTAACTGGTATCTAGGTGCAATGTACAAAGAAACCTAATAGGTATTAGGTACAAATGTGAGAGCATTGCTGTCATTTTGACATGAGGATGTGCCGACCTAATAGCAACCAAACATGTTTGTCAGCACATTAGAAGTTAAGCACTGTTACCACTAGTATAAATAAACATGAGTACAAAGCCTATACTGAAACTTTGTTGCATTACTTGGCTATTCAAAATAAGCTTCCATTAATTTTTAAGTATTATCTTTAAAAATATAAAATGTAAAAATTCTTGAAGAGAATGTTCAGGCTTCTAAGAATAGAACTTTTTTAAAACACCAACTGCTTTTTGTTATTGAGTTTCAGAAACCTTTCACAAGATGGTAAAAAACAAACAAACAAAAAACTTTACAACCACAGCTAATGTCATTTTTTTCCATTGTTCCTACTCAGCTCCAAACTCATTGTGTGCAAGACCTATTTTTCCCATACATCTAAATGATAGATACAGGCTATGAGATTCTTTCTTCTATTTGTAGCAGCTTATTCAGGTGCAGCCAAACACAAAGCTTCAGGATAAATTGTACAAACTTTACAATATGGGATTTGAATTTAAAATATGAGACATAAAGTCTGCACAAAACTGATAAAAATCAAGCACAGATATCAGGATCGAAACTTATAATCTACATGTGAAAGGGAGTTTTATTTCCTTTCAAGTGCTTTATTCTGCTATGGAACAGTTGAAACGAAGATGTGAAGCTTTGTGGTTAGTTTCAATTATACACGCTGTAGATACTATACCAATTTTAAAAGTTACGCAGAGACCAATGGATGTCCATCAGTTCATCTGGATTGATGGGACACTCCAGTGGGATCGCTGAGAACAAATCAGGCAAGTGTGGAAGGAAAGTCCTCCTGTGCAATTCATTTGCAGTGTTTGCGGATGGGCAGGCACACACCTCCAGGAACATGAGGGCTGCTGTTTTCTTCATCAGAGCTATGATTTAGGCTTCATGCCTCTGACCACCTCCTCAGCCTCAAGTGTTATCACATTCCTGAAGCTCTACCGCCACTTTTTCTCCAATTGTGTTTGAAACTTCTGATCTAGATGGCAGCGGATCTTCTAGTTGAGAACGTTTGTCTGGGTTGTTCCAGTTGTTTTCAGGACACTTCACATCAAACTTTATGTAAAGATCACCTTGTTCAAAGGGATTAGGATATTGTGGCATTTCTTCACCTCAAATCCCCAGAGTGTGTTTTGGAAACACTGAAGTAACAAAAAGGGCAGAGCTTTGCCCCCACTTATTTGCTAAATGCTGTTTTTACTGTGGGGCCCTATGCAAAATGACCTAACCTCTTTGAGGCAGTTTCTTAATTTTGAGATTTAGAGTAACATTCATTTTCTGGGGTTGCTGTGAGAATCAAACACAATATTGGTTATGCCATTCCTGGCACAACCGAAAGAGTAGCAATGCCTGAGTAATAGAAAGCACGTAACATTTATAATTAGGAGAATATGAGTCAGATCGGGCTTTGCATTTCTGGTCACGTGACCTTCAGCAAGCGACAAATGTGAACTTCAATTTCCTCATCCATGACATAGGACTGATATCAACATCTTCCCCACTGGATTGAGAGAAAAAGTGAAAGTAACTTCCTTTTCCCTTCTCTCCCATCTCCTCACTTCTCTCTCCCTCTACCTTCCTATTTCCCCACTTCTCTTTTCCTCCACCCCCATCTCCTTCTCTCTCCCTCCAACCCCCCATCTCTCCACTTCTCTCTCCCTCCACCGTTTCATCTCCTTACTTCTCTCTCCCTCGACCCCTCCCATCTCTCCACTTCTCTCTCCCTCCACCCTCCCATCTCCACACTTCTCTCTCTCTCCACCCCTTCCATCTCTCCACTTCTGTCTCCCTCCACCCCTGTTTCCCTCCACCCTTTCATCTCTCCACTTCTCTCTCTCTCCACCCTATCTCCTTACTTCTCTCTCCTTCCACCCTCCCATCTCCACACTTCTCTCTCCACCCCTTCCATCTCTCCACTTCTGTTTCCCTCCAACCTTCCATCTCTCCCCCTCCACCCTTCCATCTCTCCACTTCTCTTTCCCTCCAATCTTCCATCTCTCCCCCTCCACCCTCCCATCTCTCCACTTCTCTCTCTCTCCACCCTCCCATCTCTCCACTTCTCTCTCCCTCCACCATCCCATCTCCACACTTCTCTCTCTCTCCACCCCTCCCATCTCTCCACTTCTCTCTCCCTCTACCCTCCCATTTCTCCACTTCTCCCTCTTCACCCTTCCCCTCACCCCAAACACACTTTCCTGGTATTGCCTAAATTCCTTATGAGCATTCAATGCTTTCTATTGATAGTGTTTTCCTTGGGTCTTCTTTTTTTAAAAAGAAATCCTTTTGAGACAACCAGAATATTGACTACTTGATGATTTTCTCATGAATTCAACTGCTCTACCTGGTACATTTACTAAAGGACATTGAGTTCACTGGATCCCTGAAAGGAGAAGAAGGAAAAAAAAAAAGGGAAATTCAGCCTTTTTTCCTACTCCTAAATATATCTCACAATGTTGTCTTAGCCTAGCACATTTTAAAAAAATCTTTGGTACAGAAGTTCTTTTAGTAATCTGATAAGCCAACTTTAAAGGAATATTTCATGCATATGAAAGGTAAGATTTGATGAGGCTTTCTTGACATATATAAAAGAATAGAGATTAAAGCCATAATTTAATATTTGCCCTTTAAGTATGTCCATCAAATACAATTTTATGTGAAATACTTTCCACGAGTTCGGCTTTCTAGTGGACTTTGCTTTCAGAAATAGAGAAAGTTTCATGAAAAACAAATTTATGTCACCACTGTGTTCTAGTAGTTGGTAAATATACTAGACAACGTATTGCTTTTGCCAGAGTCAATAATCATTGACTCCTGCATGTGTCAGCAGACATTTACCAGTGTAAGGACTCTACATGGGAAATTAAGCTTTTTTTGGGAGTAGGTAGAAAGGAGGGCAGAGTATCAACAAACAGGGAAGGTCTGGGAGTCAGTAGACCTGGGTTCTAGTCCTCTCTTTTAATTAGTTTTGAACCCTATATACACAGATATAACCTATTCAGAGTTATTTTTAAATTGATAAATGGAGGGGATTGGGCAGTTCATTCCAGCTCAGTCAATTGGGAACAGTTGATTGATTCTTGATACGGTGATATTGCTAACAGGAGGACAACTAGATCTTAAGATCCATAGCACAGGGATCATGACTGTCTTGTTAACTGTTGAACCTCTGGTATTTGCATGCATAGATACCCAATAGAAACCTGTTGAATCTGGAACAACTGAGGGTTGGCTAGCCAGCAGAATTTCATTATTTTCAGTGCAGAGCTAGATCCTCCTATAGTTCCTAAGCTATGAATTTAAAAGTTAATAATCAGTGTACATTTGGGGGAACCACACAGGGAAAGAAATTCTACCATGACAGATTCCACTGATGGTAGGAATGAGGATTCTGATACCCCAGCCTCCTCTCTGAAGGTCAGGTCGTTTTATGACATGCCCAAAGAGCATGACTTATGCTGACAGCTTCATCAGTTCAACAGAGTTCTTTTTTCTCAATGGAACAGATGTCTATTGTGTTGATGTTGCCTGACCTAACAATAACTGACTTCTCCAGTGGATCTTGGTTGTTTTTCTTCCCAGTTACCCTTGGAATTTATCACCATCAACTCCCCCATGTGCCAGTGGTAGTTTTCTGTGGATCCCAAAAGAAGATCAAGGCCCTGGAAAAATTAAGGAAAATCAGGGATTGTGTTGGTGCATCCTGTTCTTAGGTTGAAAAAGTGCAACTGTAACTCCACCCCCCACAGCAATCCAGCTTAACTGGATATTCCAGAACAAGGCTGCCCACTGGGCTGGACACATCCCAAGAAGGGTGGGGAGAGTTACAAAAACCAGGTCCGCCCTTAGCCCAATCCAGCCAGCAAATAGCAGAGGGACTTGTTTTTCCTAAATTCAGTTATTAAAATAGAAGAACTTCTCTCAGCATTTAATGATATTGTTTTGTCCAAAATTACTTTTCTTGTTTAGAGCTCAACATATTCATGTCAAATATCTTTATGGTTGGACACATATTTGTAACTCTTTACATTCCTAGCTAATGGAAAGTTGGGAGTCATCATTGTAATTTTCCCAGGATGCTTTAAGATGCTTCATCATAAACACATCCTATGTTTGAATGATGGTTGGCAATGTTGAGATTGACAGCTTCAATATGCACTTTAATTTCTCAATAACATAAGTCATAGTTAGATACATTGTAGTTTTTTCCTCCTTTATTTTTCTGATACCTGCCTTCAGAAGTGAAGTTCAACAGTAGGGGAGCACTTGCCTTCCATTAATATTTAGATGGACCATACTGACATCTCATTAACTAACTTACAAAGTGTCACATGTTATCTGTGACAGCATGGATGAACCTGGAGGACATTATGTTAAGTGAAATAAGCCAGGCACAGATTCTCACTTATATGTAGAATCTAAAAATGTTGAACTCATAGAAGCAGAAAGTAGAATGGTGATTGCTAGGGGCTGCAGGTGAAGAGTGCTGGGGAGATATTGGTCAAAGGACACAAAATTTCAGTTCATCAGGAAGAAAAGTTCAATAAATCTATTGTACGATATGGAGACTATAGTTAATGTATTCTTGAGTATTGCTAAAAGAGTAGATTTTAAATGTTCTCACAACAAAAAAATGATAAGTATGTGAGGCCACACACAGGTTAATTAGTCGATTTAGCCATCCCACAATGTCCACGTATTTCAAAACACATCATCTTTTACCCAATAAATATATACAATTATTTGTGTCAATTAAAAAAAAAGACTCACAGAGTACAGATTAGAATGGAGGAGGATGGAGATTAAATCTGGAGGAGCAAGCAGAAAATGTCCAGTTGTCAAGTGAAGTAAGCTAAGCGATGACCTGGAGACACACTGTAATTGATCCAACTCACAGTGGAAGCTGGAAAGGATCAAAGGTCCTGGCAGGGAGCAACAGAGGCTGGGAGAAAGAAGGGGCTTTAACCTAAGGAGAGGTGCAGCAGTGTATGCAGGAGATAGGGGTTTACATAAGAGCCACTGGAGAAACATCGTCCATTATTGGATCCCTGAATGTTCCCTGAATGTTCTCTGTGGGCTCTGTTTGTTTCTTTCTTACTTTCTGTTTCTTCTTTAGGGTTCTCTAACAGGTCTGCTGACTTGGCAAAAATGTCTGGTAGCCCTAGCTAGCTCCTTCCACTTATATTTAAACTTGAAATATTCATTCTCATGAAAATGATGATATAAGCAATAGATTTCCAGATCTACCCATAAAATTCCCTTTTCATTCAAATGTGACTGGAGTCTTAACAAGATATTAACATTTCAAAGCCAGCCTCAAGCATAAAAAGTGATGTTACCTAAGAAGTCAAAGGAGAAAAGAGTGACAGCCTGTCTGGAGTTAGGCAATCCCTGGCCCCACAACATGGATGGAAATAATTAAGGAGAAGATGAAAATAATTTGAGGCTGGGCATGGTGGCTCATGCCTGTAATCCCAACACTTTGGAAGGTCAAGGTGGGAGAATCTTTTGAGGCCAGGAGTTTGAGACCAGCTAGGCAACGTGGCTAAACTGTAGTGTCTTTACAAAATATACAAAAATTAGCTGGGTGTTGTGACATGTGCTGGGGAAGCTGAGGTGGGAGAATCACTTGAGCCTGGGAGGTCAAGTGATCCTCCCAGTGAACTGTGATTGTGCCACTGCACTCCAGCATGGGTGACAGAGTAAGACTCTATCTCCAAAACAAACAAACAAACAAACAAACAAACAAAAATACATTTGAGGGATAAAGGCGGTGCCATACTATTGAGGTTCACAGAGTGGAAGGAAGAAAGATCCATGCTATGGTGCTAGTAAGAGAAGTTGTTGGAGCACAAATCTCTGTTGAGCTCAAGGAGGCAGCAGTTAGGAGTGGTCATTGCGGGGATTAGAGATTTCAGAGTATTTTTATAAATGGCACTACCCTCAGATGGGGGAAAAGCAATGGCACAACACCCACCCAACTTGACAGTGTCAAGGACCATTTGATAACATGAGAACAACCTGAGCCGCAAATTTTGTGACAGTCCTGCGCCATCTACAATAGCTGATACTCAAGGGGCAGAGCAGAACTAGTTGCCTACAAGAATCAAATAATTTTGGGAGATAGATTCAAAATTTCTTCTGCTGAAAAGCTAGTCATAGTATATTAAAAACAAAAAAACAAACAACAACAACAACAAAAACACTGGGTCAAACCTTAAAAGATAAAATGGACTTGGGAAGGAAAATGTGATGGTTTAGTCTATTTACATTTGTTGTCACCCTGTCACATAACACTAATCAGTGAATCAGGTGTCCTCTGTATATGTGACAAAAGGACGAGGTTTCCACTATAGACATGCATGTCAATGCTCCAGATGCTGAAAAGATGGATATAATGGGACGCTTGGCGAGACTAATGGTTTTAGTTCTTTAGATAGTGAAATGTCACTTTAAAAATGCTACTAATATCTGTTTTTGGAAAAGATTTTTTTTTTTTTTTTGAGATGGAGTCTCCCTCTGTGGCCCAGGCTGGAGTGCAGTGGCACAATCTTGGCCCACTGCAAGCTCTGCCTCCAGGTTCAAGTGATTCTCCTGCCTCAGCCTCCTGAGTAGCTGGGATTACAGGCATACCCCACCATGCCTGGTTAATTTTTGTACTTTTAGTAGAGATGGGGTTTCATCCTGTTGGCCATGCTGCTCTCAAACTCCTGACCTCAAGTGATCCACCCGCCTTGGCCTCCCAAAGTACTGGGATTACAGACGTGAGCAACCGCGCCTGGCCTGGAAGTGAAAATTTTAATTTACTTTATTAAATTAAATTAAATTAATTTAATTTAATTAATGTTTCAAAAAACTTTTGAATAGATTTCCTTTATTTACACAATGACCTGAATGGCGATACTCTAGATTAAGATATCAAATGGTATTGTGATATTGTGTTATAATAAGAAATATGTATTTGGTCTCTGCTCTTGGTTCCTGGCACACAACTCCTAAAACCCCTGGAATGTCCATAGTAATAAGAGTGTCTTTTGTATGCTAATGAGGTGACTGGTGGCTAGTAGTCCCTACATAGCTTCAGGATGTGGGCTGGTCACTAGAAAGACCAAGGTGTGATTAGATGATTGGGACTACCCCACCAACCTCCAGGGAGGGGACGGGGCAAGGGACTGAAAGCTGAATTGAACACCAATGGCCAGGGATTGTAAACAATCATGCCTACATAATGAGGCTTCTGTAAAAACACTCCAAAGAACTGGGTTTAGATTGTTGAATACATGGAGGTACCAGGAGGGTGGCATGCCTATTGAGGACATGGACTCTCTCCAAACCGCTTCCCATATGCCTCGCCCTGCGCACCTCTTCCATTTAACTGTTCATCTGTATCCCTTGTAATATCCTTTATGGTAACTGGTAAGTGTTAAGTGTTTCCTTGAGTTCTGTGAGTCATCCAGAAAAATAATCAAACCTGAGGAAGATATCAGGGGAACTCTGATTTATAGCCAGTTGGTTAGAAGCACAGGTCACAGCCTGGGGTTTGCAATTGGCATTTGAAGTGGGGCAGACTTGTGAGACTG
The DNA here is from genome assembly GCF_000001405.40 of Homo sapiens. Taxonomy (NCBI): domain Eukaryota; kingdom Metazoa; phylum Chordata; class Mammalia; order Primates; family Hominidae; genus Homo; species Homo sapiens. Next base: position 34,411,414 of record NC_000011.10, read on the forward strand.
AGCCCTTAACCTGTGGGATCTGATGCTGTCTCCAAGTAGATAGTGTCAGAATTGACTTAAATTGTAGGACACCCAGCTGGTGTTCTTTGGAGAATTGCTTAATATATAGGGGAAACTGTCCCCATACATCTGGTGTCAGAAGTGATATGAGAATGAGAGTGAAAGATAAGAAAAACCTGTGTTTTTCTTATCCCAGATAGGTATTTAGGAATATAATTTGGGTCCATCTTTAAAACCATGCCTCCGTAGACATATTTTTTATTTCTTATTCTTGAATTTGAATATTCCATGTCTGACAATTACTTGTTCTCAGAGGATGTTAATATCTTCATGTGTAAATTGACAGGAGATTAAAACCCAGGTTAAAATCTGAAATGAGGCCATGTAAGGAGGGACTATGGTCTGATTGTTTCCACTTCACATGGCGGGAGATACCATGACAAAGATTTGGTTGTACTTTCAAGCTCAACCTGCACTGAACTAGGAATGTTCTGTGTGAAGTGTTAGTTAAGACTAAACAACTTTGGGAAACTCACTCTGGATTGTCACTCACTCTGGACTCATCATTTTCTTGTCTGAGTCATCGGTCAGATTATATACTCCTGTGGGGAGAAGGAAGTGAATTTCTCTCTTAAGGAAATGCTTTCTTTTCCCACCATTGATCATCCTGGAGTAGAAAAGGGGTGTTGGATATGGGAGGGAAAGATTTCCTCCCTTTTTTGGGGAACTGGGACATGAAGGGGAAAAGAGATATTCTGCTTGTGTAGGTTGAGCAGTTTTCTTTGCCACATGAAGGAGTGAAGGCAGGGCCTACGGGCCTATTTTAGATCTGTGGCCCCAACTACTAGCAGTATTTGAAATTAGTGTTGAACCAGGGTGTTATGGTAAAAGCCAAAAGCAACTTCATTTTTGTCTCTCGCTGAACTTTCTCAGTGAGGGTGATCCTTTCCCTACTCCTGGTCGAAAACTTGGGTAGTCAATGGTTACAGATAATAAAATGTTATGGGTCAATCACTGTGGCTCACACCTGTAATACCAGCACTTTGGGAGGCCAAGGCTGGCAGATCCCTTGAGCCCAGGAGTTCGAGACCAGCCTGGGCAACATGGTGAAACCCTGTTTCTGAAAAAAAAAGTAATAATAATAATTAAAAAAAGATTAGCCAGGCATGATGGAGCATCTATAGTCCCAGCTACTCTGGGAGCTGAGATGGGAGGATTGCTTGAGCCTGGGAGGTTGAGGCTGAAGTGATTGTACCCCTGCACTCCAGCCTGGGTGACAGAGTAATACCCTGTCTCAAACAAACAAACAAAAGAGTTATGATTACTTTAAGGTGAAACTTCCATCTTAATGTGGTATTTGTGTTTTTGCTCTTCTCCCATTCAGCGTCTGGTGCAGACAAGAACATGCCATCTGGGAAGGAAAGACATCATGAGCTCCTCTCTTTCTTCTTCCTTTATCCATCCATTGCTCTTGCCTTCCCCACCTGTGTTAAAGCAAGAGGAGGGAGAAAGGAAATGGGGATTGGAAAATTCTTGACCAGAACTATTAAAAGATTGTTCTGGGCTCTCTGGACCTGACAGGTATTTAAGAACAAATCTTTCTCTCATGAGCACTTTTACAGGCTCTTTGAGGATTTCTCTACTAATTCTGTTTGATTTTTGCTCCCTTGACATAGCTATTCCAGATCCCTATTTAATCCCTTGGATTCATGCACCTCTGTCCTATGGTTGGAGGTGAGTCCATTGCTTCCCAGACATAGCCTCTACTCTGCTGTCCCAGGCTACTTTAGCTTTCTCATATGTGAGTCAGACATCTATGAACTTTAGAAATCAGACATCAAATTCTCTGCATGGTTTCACTGACATCTCTTTCATAGGCTTTATTTGTTCTTTATTGCATTCCTCTCCAAGGGTTCACTCTTTTCCTTGCTATAGTATGTCTTTGAGTAGTTCTTTTATCAAGCATCAGTGGAGTTTTGTAGGTTTTAAATGTCTATATTATGTAAGTGCTCTTGAATGATTTTTAGCTGGGTATAAAATTACATTTTATTAGTAATTTCTTTTTAGCACTTTGAAGACCTTACTTCATTGTCTTTTGGCATGTATTGCTGGGAAAGGGGAGTCTGCTATAAGTATAATTTTTACTTTCTAAGATTTTTGTCCTTTTTTTCTGTTAGCTTTTATGATTTTTTTTTATCCTTTCGTTCCATAACTGTGCTACCTTTGCTTTGTCAAGCTAGGTTTTATTTCACTTATCCTTTCTATCATTTAATAGGCACTTAAAAAATCTGACATTTTTCTTCAATTCTTAATCCTTTACCAGTCTTTCAATATTGTTCTATTCTTTTGGAGAGCCTCATATATTATACATTTAGTAAAATCCTTTAATCTAATCTCTATTTCTCTTCATTTCTCATTCATATTTTAATATCTTTATTGGTCTGTATTTATCATCAAATTTTTGTGCTAGTTTCCAGTATTCACTAATTCAGTTTTTTATTTTGCCCAGGCCAGAGTACAGGCCATCCTTGGTTTGCATGATGCTATGTTAACTGAAACCTATGCATATCAGAACCCTGTCCTCAGTTATCACAGAATCATGCAAAGTGAAGACATGGTTGCATGAGGTTTGGCTAGCACAACACTGTGCAAAGTGAGGACCACCTGTATATCCAATTCATAAAATGTTTGTATTTCTATGACTATATTTTTCATTTACAGAATTTTCAATTGGTTATTTTTCATGTCCATTGGTTCTTAATCTAATCTGCCTTTTCCCTACTTTTTTTGTTGATTGTAAAGCATGCTATTGCTTCACTTATTTTCTTGAAGTTCTTAAATGTACATACTTAAAGTGATTTTTTGAGTGCAGTTTACAATTGTATTTTTTTTTTTTTTTTGAGACAGAGACTTGCTCTGTCACCCAGGCTGGAGTGCAGTGGTGCGATCTCGGCTCACTGTGACAAACACCTCCTGGGTTCAAGTGATTCTCCTGCCTCAGCCTCCCGAGTAGCTGGGATTACAGGCACACACCACCACGCCCAGCTAATTTTTGTATTCTTAGTAGAGACAGAGTTTCATCATGTTTGCCAGGCTGGTCTTGAATCTTGACCTCATGATCTGCCCACCTTGGCCTCTCAAAGTGCTTGGATTACAGGCGTGAGCCACCATGCCTGGCCTACAATTGTATTTTGAGAGCCATGAATTAATTTCTCCATAATTAAGTTTGTTGGCTGGCTCTTTGTGTTCATTCTCTTTCCTTGCTCTGAAATTTTTATTCACATTTTTATCTTGAGTGGAAATTTCTTGTCTTCTTCGCTATGCTAATTCTATCCTGTTTGGCATTTTCGAAGTTATCTTCCACTAATCTCAGGACCTGCAATCTAGAACTAGGTGTACAGTTGGAAATTTAGGGTTCCTGTCCTGCAACGGTAGTAGAGACAACAGATCCACTCATTCAGCTGTCAGGGAGCTTGTCAGCTTCTGTCCACATGGCATTCTCTGTCTCCAGCCACCACATATACACAGTTAACGATGCCCCCTTTCCCTGTGGGCAAGTTCTGCCTCAGCTCCTATTTCACAGTGTGACATTGGATATGATTCTCTTTTATGCATGGGGATGATTTTAGTTCCTGTCATCCAGCTCTCCCCTTCCCCTGAAAGAAGAACACCCAAAGTATTATCAAGTGACTCGATCTAACCTCAACATACAGATTCTTCAGCGGCGTTCAGTTCTCTCAGTTGGACATGAATGTTGCTCTTGTTGCTCTACATGGTTGGATGAATTACTGCTGAATGATGTTTGATTATCCCAATATAGAATGATAGAAAAGGAAAGAGTAACTACAATAAAAATAATTTAAACTCATTTGGAAAAAGGGAATATAGGAAACATTACACAGTGGCCACCATTTTATAGCACATAATCTTAATGAAGAGGAGTAATAAGATTCCCTTTTCTTGCCAGAAATGTTAGCTCTGGGGTCAGCCAATCTAGTTTACTTAAGGCGTATTTACAGGAGGGCATACCTTGTTGATTGACAAATGTGGCCACGTCTAAAAAGGGATTTGGGGAGAAAGCTATCATGGGGGCTGTAACAATTACAAGTCTGTTTCATAATTCATTGGTTTAGGAGTCGATGGATTGCCTTAATGGACAAATAATCATGGGTTCTTGTAGTTTGCCAAGCATGAGTTTCTCTAGAAATATACATTTCTTAAAACAAAATGAATTTCAACCTATTTCTGTTTACTGAACTCCAGTGCCAAATAACCAATGACTAGTTAATCATTGACTCTATAATCCAGCCTGAAACTTTCTCTCTCCTAAAAATAGGACAGGGCTTTGTCCATTGTCCAGCCCTCAGTTGAACTTGGATTCTGCCTCCACATTCTATTACATGCCGAAAAGGGTGAGCTTTCCGAGGCAAAGAGGTATCTTCTTCAGTCTGTACTTTCACAAGGACCAGTTCCAACTTAAGCTTTTCTATTTCTTATTGAAATAACCAAGGTTAGACGATCCATTCTAACATCCTGTGTGTTTCCTATCAAAAATAGTAGTAGTGTAGTTTAGGTGGGTTGAATGTATTCCACATCACCTCAGTTCAGCTAATTCTACATCTTAGAACCTGTCATTTAAAAATGCCCTACTTCTGGGCATTTCTGTATCACTTGAGACTTTTACAGTTGCAAGTGACCAGAAGTCCCAGCTCAAATTAGCTTAAAGAAGAAAATGCACTGGATAATATAAATAATAAATCCAGGCTGAATATCTAGGTAGATAGGATGAAACTAGACTGAGGACTGAAAACACATCATCAGCATGTCTTAGTTTCTTCCCAGCTCTTGGCTTTATTTTGCATTTCCCCATGTGTTAGTTTTATTCTCAGATTCTATGTGGCAATAAAATGGCTACAGCTGTTCTGGCCTTGCATCCTCTCAGATTCAAGTCTGTTGAGAAAGTCTGTTTTCCTTTTTTCTTTTTCTTTCTTTCTTTTTTTTTTTTTTTGAGATGGAGTCTGTCTCACTCTGTTGCCCAGCCTGGAGTGCAGTGGCGCAATCTTGGCTCACTGCAACCTCCGCCTCCCAGGTTCAAGCAATTCTCCCACCTCAGCCTCCCAAGTAGCCGGGATTACAGGTGCCCGCCACTATGCCCAGCTAATTTTTGTATTTTTAGTAGAGACGGAGCTTCACCATGTTAGCCAGGCTGGTTTCGAACTCCTGACCTCAGGTGATCCACCTGCCTCAGCCTCCCAAAGTGCTGAGATTACAGGCTTGAGCCACCTTGCCCAGCCAGAAAGTCTGTTTTCTCATGAAAAGTTACACAAAAGTCCTGTAATTGAGCCTCTCTGTTTCTGATTGGACTGGGTTAGATCACGTGTCTATCTGTAAATGTATTGCTATGGCAGGAGCAACAGAATGCACCCATTAGCTTAGGTTTCATTCTGACTTGGTGCAGATAGACTTCAAGTGTAAATAAAAGGTAGAGTAGAGGAGGGAATAACTCTACAAAGCAAAATTAGGATGATATTACAAAATGTAGAGTGCATAGAGTTGCAAAACCAGCAACTGTCTATTGCATCACTGGATAGAGAGAACCTTAATGCCAGAGCAAGTAAAGGGAACACATGTGGACATAAAAAATACCATTCTGTCTCAGATCGATCATATTACTACTCAGTTTCACCACGAGGCACTTATGAGGGGAGGGAGCATATGGCAGTTGTTCTTTTTCTTGTCAGTCTCTGTTTATGTATAATAACCAAGAAATTCTTAATATCTTCCTTATAGTTCCTTGTTGGAGCTATCATTCTTAAATGTATCGAAATCTTTCTTGTATATTCTTACATTTTGCCAGTATAAATTTTATGACTTTGTAGACTGTGAATCTGAACTCCTTTTATCTTCTATCCTTTTATCTGTCTATAGAGGGGATCTGAATTCCAACAGAAACAAATAAATGCCAATTAGCCTCTAGGGGGCTCTTTCTATGGCCAGTATGGTGTTTTTCTAGTAATTAGAGAAAACTGGTACTAGGAATATTAAAAATTTAATCCCTAAATCTAGAGCAAACAACTTCAACATTCTCTTCCATTGTTATTTTAATATCAGCTCATTAGAAAACAAAAGTAAAGAAGTCACCAACATTGTATCAGAGCAAATAAAATGTTGGGACAGTTACCCACATATGAGCAAGATGAGGAAGAAAATACCATAGCAATGATGCAAAAATATGGCAAATAATTGTTAGAAATAAATGCAAAAAACAGACCAAGAGTCCAGCTCAGAAATAAAATACTATTCTGTCTTTTGGTTCCTTCCTTATCCTGGGGAGGAGATGCATTAGTAAAAGATTGTTTGACGACTTACCTGGAGAAAGTGGTCTGGGCTAAGACTATGACACTTTTATCAAATAGTGAAAGAAACATGGGCTTTGGCATAGGGGTGACATGCTTTAGAATGTTGAGACTCATTCAATAGCAGGAAAGTCACCTAATCATCGCTGAGCCTCAGTTACATCATCTACTCCTTCCCAGGAGTGTTTTGAGGATTAAATGAGGTATGGTGTCTATGGTGAATACTTGGTACCAGTCCATCTGTTTCTCCTGGTGAAAACATCAGGAAAAAGTTGCCCAATTTAAAAAATTTATCAGTTAGAAAAGATAATCTACCAAAACATCTAGAAATTCCTCCTTCTACCCAGTACTCAGCATTTGAAGCAATGAGGCAAAGAATCAAAATAGAGCTAATGGGGACTATACGAAGCCATTTAGTCTACTTTATGATCTAAAGGTACCTATTTCATTGCCTATTATTTCTCAGTAGCCTATTTCTCAGATCATTGTTTTGAAAGCTGGTTTTATGTTTATGGCACCAATTCTTGCTTCTTTTTGCTCAGCCAGATCCTCTGCACATAAAACTAGTAGACTGTGAAACGAGCTGCCTCAAGCAGGACCAGCTAGTGGCAGCATGCAGAAGGAAGTAAGAGGTGGAGGGAGAGTGGGGAGAGAACTACTGGATGCCTGACTTTTAAGGCTGGGACAATTGACATTTGGCCAGTATGGTAGCCTGTGGATTAATCAGAATGGAGTGTTGTTCACAAGGGAGGAGAGTTTTGCAATTCCATTTCTAGGAATTTGTCTTACAGGAAGACTTACAGCAGTATACAAAGTTGTCCCTGCAAGGATGTTCAGGGCAGTATTGTTTGTAAAAGTGAAAACTAGAGAAAACCTATATGTCTGTTAATAATGGAAAGGTTAAGTAAATAGGATGTGTTCACACTGTAGAATGTTATGTGGCAACTCAAAAGAACAAGGTGGAGCTATACATATTAATAATAAACAGGCTGGGCACAGTGGCTCACACCTGTAATCCCAGCACTTTGGGAGGCCGAGGTGGGTGGCTCACGAGGTCAGGAGATCAGGACCATCCTGGCCAACATGGTGAAACCCCGTCTCTACTAAAATTACAAAAATTAGCCAGGCATGGTGGCAGGTGCCTGTAGTCCCAGCTGCTGGGGAGGCTGAGGCAGGAGAATTGCTTGAACCCGGGAGGTGGAAGTTGCAGCGAGCTGAGATCGTGCCACTGCACTCCAGCCTGGGCGACAGAGTGAAACTCCATCTCAGAAAAAAAAAAAAAAAAAAAAAAAGAGAGAGAGAGAGAGAGGGAGAGGAAGAGGAAGAGAAAAAGACAGAAAGAGAGAGGAGTTTGGGGGTGAGAGTGGGTAATAGGAAGCAAGTTTTTGTACATTTATATTTTGTTGTATTCTATTTTACAAGAAGCATATTTACCTATAAAAACAAAAGTAAATAAAAAGCCCCATGGTTAAAAGACACATTTATTTATAACTCTTAAAGTTCAAAGAAATTAGAAGAGTTCCTCCTCCTCCAGTTTGTTACGTAGCGGGTCTTCTCACCACATCATAATCCTGGGACACAGGTTACAGGAATGCTGCTCAGCAAGTGGACACCAGCTATTCTGTTAATCTTTGGCAATGGCTTTCCAACAGGAGAGATGTACCCTTGAATGGTGTAATTATTAAGTTTATTGGAGAGGCTGCTTTCTTCATCTTGTTTTGGAATCACTTAATTGAAGAATGATTTATTCAATTGATGTATAAATCCCTTTTCTCTGAACTAGGGAAATTGCCATCTCAAAACAGAGCCAGTGGTCATCTTTCAGGAAGATTTGAGGCTTGCCCTCACTCTCAGCCTATTCACAGGGCCCTAGGTCTAATAGCCAGTATATAAAACAATCTCATAGCCTATAATATCATGAAATTCACAGTTCTTACCCCCAGATGTCTCATAGATGTGTGATTAGGGACCTATTTCAACTCCCACTCCAATCCCCAACACACAGAATCTGGAGAAATGACGCTTGAAGTCTGACTTCCCAGATTCTTTAGAACAAGACACCTGTATAGTTTTCAGATTTCTCTTCACGTGACCAGTGTAGCAATCTGAAGGTCTGGAAAATGACATATTTTAACCTCTCTTTTAAGGACATTTTTTTCCTTTTAAATAAATAAAAAGAAAAAAAAGTAGGATGTATATAAAGAAAGTTTTTCTCTTTTAGGGCTTTCATACTCAAGTTATGACAACACTGAAGAATTTAATAGGTACAGATTTTCCAGGTGTCATTATGGATTCAATTTCAATTGCATTAAATTTCAGAAAGTTTAATATATATTAGCAAGTCATAGCATATCATTATTTGGAAACTTTTTTCATTGTGAATGAAATCAGTTATTTGCCCTTTATTTTATTTTTTAAAAATAATTTCAACTTTTATTTAAGATTCAGGGGGTAAACGTGTAGGTTTGTTACATGGGTATATTGTGTGATTGCAAACATCATTTAGTGATGTGTCTGATGTAATGCCAAGTCCTCATCAATTCTACTTCACAGTTGCTCTTGAATCAATCCCATAGCGACTGCCCTTATTTCGGCTAACCTGGACTCTTTTAGAGGTGGTTGAACTTGTTTTCTGATCTTCATTTGCTCTCTCCATTTTATGATATTTTTTGATCTTGCTGGAAAATTAATCTTCCTAAAACACAGTTTTGAGCATGCCATTGTATGTTAAAACATTTTCAGCACTTCTCCTTTTCCTATTGAATAAGTCTTAAAAGTCCATACCCCTTAGCCTGTCCTTCTGGGTTGGTAGCATAGCACCTTGAAGGAACCTACCTTTCATGCCAATAACTTCTCCAATAACTTCCATAGATTCTAAGTTCCAGGCAAACTGAATTAGCCCTGTATTTCCCAAACAGTGCTTTACTTCTTCTCTAGGTTACCTCCTGACATATTATGGTTGTAATTTGAAATTTCTTCAGAGCTTACCAGCCTCAGGATGAAAATAGAACCACATTGACATCAATACCCAAATTTCACTTCTTCATCAGACACGGAAGTCCAAACCTCTACCAAGTCTCCTCCCAGATATTTATGAGAATCCCAGCAAGGAAAGATATTAAAGTGGTATCTAAATTGGCCAGGACTGCTGCTACTTTGTTTTTCTGGGTCCCAGGGAACCTCCCATTGTTTCTGGTCAGTGCCACTGGGCACCATGTGCACCCCAGGCCCAACTGGTGCCATCATGGGCAGAGTGTGGAAGAATGGCTCTCTCCCTTTTATGTTGCTATCTGTTATGATGGCATGTCATAGCAGTGTTGCCTGGGCTCCAGTGTGTTACAGAATATAGGAGAAGAAGTCTTCCATCTTTTATTTTATAGCACTGTCTCTCCCTTGGAATTAAACTTGCACCCAATGGTTGCACAGCACAGAATCACCGCTTCTCCTTCCTAACTCAGGCTTTATTCCTGGGTCCAGCAATTCATGCTGTTTCTAGAATGAGTCGTTTCATAAGAGGATTCTCAGGGCCCTGCAAAAAAATTTGTGTTAGACCTTTCTACGAGTTTACTAGACATGTAAAGATACATATACATCCAACTCCTGACAGGGCATCCAGTTGATGTGGTTAATAGGAGACATCTTAGCCTTCATGCAAGGGGACTTTCCTTTTGCCTCCCCCACCACTTATGATACATACTCAGACATTCTAAATCTTAAAGATGGACTCTGTTCAGGCAGGTTTTCTGTTTACAAAAGAACACATAGCATTTATATAAAGTTTAAAAACAGGCTAACTCTCCCCTCTGTATATTATGTATAGAACACATATGTTTGATTAAACCATAAAAGAAAGCAAGGGAGAGGAAGGGGAATATCAGGGAAGGATATGCGAAAGGTTTTACCCATATTGGTAAGATTCTATTTAGGCTGAGTGGTGAATCACAGATGTTTGATTTTATTATTCTCTATAATATGTGTATGTATTGCATATATATAAATTATATCATATTCAAATTTTTAAGTATAAAATATTTCACAACTAAAAGCCCTGACCAAAAAAGACATTTAAGTATTAGTCTGCACTCCTGCATTTGTTTCCTATACCTTTGTTTCTCTTTCTTCATGCATCTGCTTGGTGTTTTTTTTTTTTTTTCGAGATGAAGTCTCACTCTGTCACTCAGGCTGGAGTGCAGTGACGTGATCTCGGCTCACTGCAACCTCTGCCTCCCAAGTTCAAGTGATTCTCCTGCCTCAGCCTTCCGAGTAGCTGGGATTACAGGCACGTGCCACCATGCCCCGCTAATTTTTGTATTTTTAGTAGAGATGGGTTTTCACCATGTTGGCCATGTGGGTCTCGAACTCTTGACTTCAGGTAATCTGCCCACCTTGGCCTCCCAATGTGCTGGGATTACAGGCATTAGCCACGGTGCCGGGCCGTGCTTCTGCTGTTATCTACAGTGATCTCCAAGTTCTGAAGAACCCTTCTCATGTTTGCCTCCTTTTTCTTATCTCAAGGGCTGCTCTTCTGCTTTCTTTTGTGATTTCCCCTGTGCTTCCTTCCTGATTGCTAGTTTCTTTATTCAGCTCATGTGAATTTGCTTTTCACCTCTTTGGATTGCACTGCCAGTGTTTGGAAGTTCAGTTACTTTCCCCTCTTTGTTTTTGTTTTCTGGAATAGTCTACTTACAAGAATCACGGCTATTAGACCAGAGTGCCTCTGGGTTTTCTATTTCCTCTTTTTGGTGATGTTTGATAAAGATGCCATTTCAGATATCTTATTTTATGGGCTACTCTGTAAACAACTGTGGGAATTGGAGTTTTGGCAGGCTTTTAAGAGATGTCAACACTGCAATGAAGTGGAGGCAGCCGTTAAGAAAAATGCTTTCTTAAAAGCTTCTCTTTGGAGAATTTCTGCTGCTATCTACCGCAGCTAAGAAGGCCTAGAATAAACATCCATGGAATACTGTGGAATACATGGGATATCATGTAGCCATTAAAAACGATCATGGAGATTTTTATTTGTCAACATGGAAAGATGTTTATGACATATTAAGTGAGAAGCACAAGTTATATAGTATGTATATATGTAATATTTGTAAATAATATATATGATCTCATTTTATTTAAAGCCTTCTATATTTAAGTGCATAAACATTCATAGATAAAACTAGAAGAGTATTCATCAAATTGTGAAAAAATATTAACAATGGTTATCTTGGGATGGTAAAATTTGGGGGTGATTTTGGGAGGTTAAATTTATATGATTTTCTCTATTTTCTAAAGCACTTGAAGGGAATATATATGGCTTTATAAAAAACAGCATATTAGTATCATTTCAATTTTTTTAAAAAGAGGCTTTTGGTGAGATTAACAAATTTCTCTTTTAAATATTTCATTCTTTCTTTTGAAAAAAACTATCTGAAAGTATTATTTCTCCACCCTTTTAGCATAACACTTGAGCAGATTTTACAGTTAAAAATCATGAGTATTCTATGGATTGTATTGGTGCACACGTATAGACAATTGCAGTAAGTTTTAAGTCCAGTTTGCCTTCCTCAGGTTGTGTGGTGAAGGTCCTCCTCAGAGATAACGGAGCGGGAAAGATGGGCAGATTCAGCCTGGAGCCAACATCGCTGGGGTGACAGTGGGGTGGACACAGCTGTCACCGAGAAATGGCCTGAGGGAAGGCAGTGCAGCCTCCTAGGGTTGCGTGATTCCATTCAAGGAAATGGAGATGTGTGAATTTCCCCTGAGGGCTTGGCAGGGCACTCAAGGTGGAAGTAAAAGCTGCCCTAGCACTGTTTCATAGGACAGAAGTATGCTCCACTGTTCCCACCTCGACTTCAAAGACACAGTCAGTGGCGGTGGCAGTTGTGGCAACTATGGTGGTAAGGTGACCAACTATCCTGATTTGCCAGGGACTTTTCCCATTTTAACACTGAAAGTCCCACATCCCAGGAAACCCCTCTGTCCCAGGTAAACCAGGATGGTTGGTCTCCCTGTACTGTGGGCACATCAACATGATTGGGAGAGGTACCTCACTGGGGCGGTGAAAGCTTGTGGAGGTGATGGCAACTAAACGAGAGGAGGCAACAGTTGCCATGGTGACGATGGTGTGGTATTAGGAGAGATGCCAGGATGTGGTGGTGCCCCTGGCAGTAGAAACCTGGACTCCAAGTGAAGAGTCGAACCAACAGCTCTTGCAAGAATGGCTTTTCAGGCCAGACATGCCTGTAATCCTAGCACTTTGGGAGGCCAAGGTGGGTGGATCACCTGAAGTCAGGAGTTTGAGACCAGCCTGGCTAACATGGTGAAGCCCTGTCTCCACTAAAAATACAAAAATTAGCTGGGCATGGGGGTGGGTGCCTGTAATCCCAGCTACATGGGACGCTGAGGCATGAGAATCACTTGAATCCGGAGGTGGAGGTTGCAGTGAGCCAAGATGGTGTCACTGAACTTCAGCTTGGGTGACAGAGTAAGACACCATCTCAAAAAAAAAAAAAAAAAAAAAAAAGAATGGATTTTCAGTTTTCCCACTGCTGTTGTAACCAGGAAATCCAAAGCATTGGGATGGAGGTAGGGGCCAGTAGTGGTGGCTGGGACTCCAGGAATTACATCCAAAGAGGCCACATGTCTCTTAATGATCCCTGTGTACTCACATCCCTTCCATTGTCCTTGCCTCACACCTGGGATGGGGAAGCATTAGCTGGCACTTTCCAAACCCTACCCTTCTTTATACAGCTTTTAGGGGCTACAGTCACCTTTAGCTTTTTACACACATCATCCTTTATCTTTCTTGTTCACGTTCCTCTTTTTTAAAAAAGATATTTGATTAAGATCTTTAAGACCTGAAACCATAAAAATTCTAGAAGAAAACCTTGAAAAAACTCCTCTGGACATTGGTTAACATAAAAAATTTATGACTGACCCCAAAAGCAAATGCAACAAAAACGAAAAAGCTTCTGTACAGCAATAATAATAATAATAATCAGAGTAAACATACAATCCACAGAATGGGAGAGAATAGTTGCAAACCATGCATCCAACAAAGGATTTATATCCAGAATCGACAAGGAATTCAAACAAATCAGCAAGAAAAAAGCAAATAATCCCATCAAAAAGTGGGCAAAGAACATGAATAGACATTTCTCAAAAGAAGATATACAAATGGTCAACAAACATATTTTTAAAAAGTGCAACATTACTAATCATCGGGGAATGCAAATTAAAACCACAATGAGATATCACCTACCCCAGCCAAAATGGCTATTATTAAAAAGTCAAAAAACAACAGATGTTGGTAAGGATGTGGTGAAAAAGGAATTCTTATATGCTACTGGTGGGAATGTAAATTAATACAACCTCTACAGAAAAGAGTATGGAAGTTTCTTGAAAAACTAAAAGTAGATCTACTATTCAATCTGGCAATCCCACAACTGGCTATTTACTCAAAGGAAAAAAAAAGTCATTAAATCAAAAAGATACATGCATGTATATGTTTACTGCAGCACAATTCACAATTGCAAAGATACGGAATCAACCTAAATGCTCGTCAACTGATGAATGGATAAAGAAAATATGGTCTACATACACCATGGAATGCTACTCAGTCATAAAAAAGAACAAAAGAAGGTCTTCTGCAGGAAATTGGATGAAACTGGAGGCCATTATTCTAAGTGAAGTAACTCAAGAGTGGAAAACCAAATACCACATGTTTTCTCACTTGTAAGTGGGAGCTAAGCTATGTGTATGCAAGGACATACAGAGTGGTATAACGAACATTTGAGACTCAGAAGGGGGAGGGTGGAAGTGAAATGAGGGATGGCAAACTGCTTATTGGGTACAAAGAACACTACTTGGGTGATGGGTGCACTGAAAATTCAGACTTCACCACTATACAATTTATCCATGAAACCAAAAACCACTTGTACCCCTAAAGCTATTGAAAATATATATAAAATATTGAAAAAAAAATATATATAAAGGTCCTCAGTGCTTAAAAAAAATCAAGTGTTTTTTTAAAACTTGCCAGACAATGGAATATATTTTATAGAAAAAAGTCGATTGAGTAGTTTCACTGAGGGGGTACAAATCAGCGGTTGTTAACGGCCACAAATTAAGGATTGAAAACTAGCACTGTGGATAGAGAGGAAAGAGTCCACAGGCCTGTATGTTGGTTAAAACAAGTCCTGTGGTTCATTGGTCAATAAACAGTTTTCAGTTAGATTCTTTGAGGGTCTGGCATACCTGAATCACTCAAAATTTATGGTCCTAATCAGCCACAGCAAGTTAGAGCCAGTTATGATGAAACACAATGTTCAGTTTTACTGTTTCCTGAGTAAGTATTGCTCTAAAAATACTTCCTTTTATGCTTTACAATCAGAGCTGAATTTGCCAGTTGAGCATGAAGGTTTCTTGTAGCCAGGCCTCCTTCCCTCCACCTCTGGATAAATGTGCTTCTACTGAAGCTGCTATTTTTTGTTTATTTGTTGTTTTTGAGACAGGGTCTCACTCTGTCACCCAGGCTGGAGTGTAGTGGCACAATCACAGCTCACGGCAGCCTCAACCTCCTAGGCTCAAGCAATCCTCCCACCTTAGCCTCTGGAGTAACTGGGACTACAGGCGTGTGCAATGATGCTCAGCTAATTTTTAATTTTTTTTTTTAGAGACAGGGTCTCACTATGTTGCCCAGGCTGGTCTCAAACTCCTGGGCTCAAGCGATCCTCTAGCTTCTGCCTCCCAAAGTGTTGGGATTACAGGAGTGAGCCACTGTGCCTGGCCTGAAGCTATTTTAATCCATGCCTTATCCACTATTCTTTGGATTTTGCAAATTCCCTCCTTTTATTCTGGACAAACAGTACTTTCCTCCGAATTTCAGAACTGAGATCTAGTCTTGATCAATATGAGTTTTCTCTAATATCTTTGTTTCTTCTTTTTTTAAATTGACGAAGGTAGACTCTCTAATCTCAATGTTTATCTCTTTAGTTTCCTTCTAGGCCTTCCTTCACAGCCAGGTCCCCACAGTGAAATCTGTCCTTAGCCCGACTGTGCCATCTGGGGCTCTCTCAGGGAGACACTGGTTTTGCACTCCAGGTCATTGTTTCTTTTAGGTGCATAATAGCATAACATGATAGCACATCTGCATTTAATTATGATTCCGTCTTCCTGGCTCCACGTTCACAAATTTCTAAGCCTTTGGAGAGAAGGAATATTTGCTACAAACATTGGCTGCAGTGATGATGTTGTCATCTGCTTTTGATTTCCTAGATGTAGCCATAAACAGATGCAAAGTTTGGCTAAATGGTTGGGAGTGGAGTGTTTGGACCATCTGACAGGGTGTAGATAGGACTCTCCACATGTCTGCAGTCATAATTTTGTCCATTTTTTTTAAGTTTTTTGTCTTTAAAAATATGCCTCATCACTTCTTTTTCTTCCTACACTGAACTGGCACAGAATAAATAGAACCTTGACTTTGGTTTCACAATGTATGTGGTGGATTTCATAGACTTTTGTGTTTCATAACACAAAAATGTTTGACCTTTGCAAATGATTTCTTTTCATCTTTAGGTCACAGAGCTTTCGTGTTGATATATTTGAGAGGGGCAGAGAGTAATAACACAGGGTAATATGATGTAAGGAGGACAAATGCCTTTTTCTGTTACAAACCACACACCTCCTCTGCCTCCAGCCAGTGCAATGCTTTTGACCATAAACTTCGTTGAATCTGTCCATGTAGCCTAGAGTCAGCCACTGCTGAATCATTCTCCCAACTACAATGCTCCCTGGAGCGTTCATTACAGCACTCAAGAGTTTTGATGACTGGCACTTTTGGCATCTTTTTTTTTTTTTTTTTTTTTTTTTTTTTTTTGTCGTGGGCTTCAGCTGCCCCAGCTCCTTTCCAACACCCTACTTTCCCTTGCTCAAGGGTTACTTTAGGGTTGATGATTACTGAGGACACTCAACAGAAGCTCAGATGTTTGAGGAATGCAAGTTGTTATAAGATAAGGTGCTTTCTTGCACTTAGTTAACTTCAGACATCAAGACTTGTGTTGCTAGGGTTCTTGCTAACAGAACAATACACAGAATAATCTGTAAACTTAATAGCGCAAGAGATGGCATGTTCCAAACATCACCAAAGGCAGCCATAAAATCAGGGCCTATTTTGAAAATTGTGACTGATATTTATTAAACTAATGTCAACCAATTATACTGTCATAAAAAAGTCAGAAACGATGTTCATTGTCAAGTAATTCCTTATCTCAGGATAATAAAAGGCAAGCTTAGGGTACATTTTGTCAGATGACTTCAGGGTTTTATAAGTATTAACACATTAAATCTCATAATGTATAAGGGTTAAGAAAATAGTTTGGTCATTTCTCTGTGTAGCCTGTCTGGTTAACTGTTTATATATTCCTACTTTTTAACTTACTTATTTATTTATTGAGACAGGGTCTTGCTGTCTTGCCCAGGTTGGAGTGCAGTGAGCTATCATCAGTGGACTGATCAACCTCTACCTCCTGGGCTCAACTGATCCTCCCACCTCAACCTCCTGAGTAGCTGGCACTATAGGTGTGAACCACCATGCCCAGCTAATTTTTAATTTTTTTTGTAAAGATAAGGTCTCACTATGTTGCCCAGGCTGGTCTCGAACTCCTGGACTCAAGAGATCCTCCTGCTCCAACCTTCCAGAGGTCTGGACTTACAGGTGTGAGTTGCCACCCCAAGCTGTATTTCTTTCTTTCTTTTTAAGACAGGAGTCTTGCTCTGTTACCCAAGCTGGAGTGCAGTGGCATGATCTTGGCTCACTGCAACCTCCGCCTCCCAGGTTCAAGAGATTCTCCTGCCTCAGCCTCCTGAGTAGCTGGGATTACAGGCATGCAACACCATGCCTGGCTAATATTTTGTATTTTCAGTAGAGGCAGGATTTTGCCATGTTGCCCAGGCTGGTCTCGAACTCCTGAGCTCAGGCAATCCACCTGCCTCGGCCTCCCAAAGTGCTAGGATTACAGGTGTGAGCCACCTTGCCTGGCCCTAACCCGTATTTCTATCTTTTAATCTATGTAACTTCTCTGTGTCTCAATTTGTTTCTGTAAAAGTCACTGGGTCCAAGGCAAAACGGTGATGTAGGTGAAGTTTGAATTTAATGTCTTCCACTTCTTCCTCATCTTCATGTGGGGGTCCTCAGGTTGGGGTGAAGAAGTAACAAAAGTGAGAGTGTCCAGTTCTTGCTCTCAGCTACTGAATAACTTGTAATGAAGGTATTACCTGAGATGCTCATGTATGACTCACCCTAGGAATATACGTATACTTATTTGTAAATTTTTACTTTGATATAATACTAAGTTGCAGAAAGTTACAAAAATAGTATAAGTAACTCCAGTTTACCCTTTACCCAGATTTTGCTCTATTTATTTTGTCAAGTGCTTGCTCTCTTTACTTACATGTGTATATGGATATATATGATGTATATTTTTTTCTGGCCCATTTGAGAGTAAGTTGCAGACATCATGCCTCTTTACCACTAAATACTTCAATGTGTATTTTCTAAGACACAAAAGAAATCTCTGATGTAAGAGATTACATAACTGCAGTCTAATGATCAAAACAAGGAAATTTAACATTGATACAATATTCTTATTCATATTAAGTTTATGGCCCATATTAAATTTCATAAATTGTCTCCATAATGTTTCTGAAGTCTTTTCCGTCTGTTCCAAGACCCAGTCCAGGAACACTCTTCATACTTAGTTGGCATGTCTCCTTAGTCTTTTTTAAACTGGAACAGTTCTTTAGTCCTTAACTTCCATGATCTTGATATTTTGAAAAGGCCAGTTGTAGACTGTTCCTCAGTTGGAGTTTGTCTCATGTTTCCTCATGATTAGATTCAGAGTATGCATTTTTGATAGGAATGCCACAGAAGCGATGTTGAGTCCTTCCTGGTGTACCATGTCAGAAGGTTCATAATGGGGGTAATATATCTATTTTTTTTTTTTTGAGACAGAGTTTCACTCTTGTTGCCCAGGCTGGAGTGCAATGGCATGATCTTGGCTCACTGAAACCTCCACCTCCCTGGTTCAAGAGATTCTCCTGCCTCAGCCTCCCGAGTAGCAGGGATTACAGGTGCATGTCACCATGCCTGGCTAATTTCGTACTTTTAGTAGAGATGAGGTTTCTCCATGTTGATCAGGCTGGTCTCGAACTCCTGACCTCAGGTGATCTGCCCACCTCAGCCTCCCAAAGTGCTGGGATTACAGGCATGAGCCACTGCACCCGGCAATATATCTATTTTTTAAAAGAGGACTCTTTTTGAGAATATGGGAAAGTACTCAAGTCCTAAAGGAAAATATATTTAAAAATGAAATGGGAGGGTATCTGTATTTGAGCCAGGCATCTGATCAAATTCTCCCTCAAATCCCTCAAGGCAAATTGTCACTTACTCTGGTTATTTGTAACATGGTTTATCCCGGTATTACCTCATCTATTAATTCACTTGCTTGTTCATTCATTTAGTCAAATATCCTGGGTGCCAGAAAACTGTTGCAGGTGCTAAGAATAAGCAGAAAATTCAAAACCAGAAACAAAACCCACCAATCCTCATGGACTTCTATTCTAGTAGGAGAAATACCCAATAAACAAATGAAATCGGTTATATAGTATGTTAAAAGGGAGAAGGATCACAGAGAAAACACAAAGCAGGGAAGGCATGACAGGAAGTGCCAGAGGAAGCTATAAGATTAAAAGAAGTGGTCAAGAAAGGTCTTCCTGAGAAGACAACATGGTAAACTACAGGCCCCCAAGCTGAGCCACGTGGCTTCTGGCTTCTTTTGAGGATGCAGAGTTTAAAAGGGCATTAAGAGAAAGATGATACAAATCCTAATATTGTATCATCTATAATTTGCCCATCGAGTAAGTTGTTTCACACCTCAGGGGCCAGCCAGACAAGAGAAAGGCAACGGTGATTGTTATTCATTGACATTTAGAATATTGGGTGGGATGGGATTGGGAAAAATCCCAGTACAAAGTTTCAGAGAATTAAGCTAGTGCTTGCTAAGTAGTTCGTTTATGTTGCTTACAGAGCTAGCCACTGCTTTCCCCAGCTCTGGCTCAAGGATGGGGAAATCCTCTGACAATGTCATGTGCAAGAAGGATGTTCATCTTGCCTCCAAATCCAGTATCAAAAAAGTATGAATGGGCCGGGTGTGGTGGCTCATGCCTGTAATCCCAGCAGTTTGGGAGGCTGAGGCCGGCGGATCACTTGAGGCCAGGAGTTCGAGACCAGCCTGGCCAACATGACGAAACCTCCTCTCTTATAAAAATACAAAAATTAGCCGTGTGTCTGTGGTCCCAGCTACTGAGGAGGCTAGACAGGAGAATCACTTGAACCCGAGAACGGAGGTTGCAGTGAGCGGAGATGGCGCCACTGCACTCCAGCTTGGGCGAGAGAGTGAGACTTTTATCTCAAAAAAAAAAAAAGTATGAATGGCAGAACAGAAAATATATGATAAGAAGAAACAAGAAGAATGAAGGCAGCAGTATCTTAAAGAACAATAATCATATGAAAATAGATTGCTTATGGGAGATGAATGTGTAAAGAATGGCCTTAATTTCATTTGTGAGGCCCCACCAGGAGCTAAAAAAGGAAACAGAGAAAAAAGAAAACAGGAGAGAATGAAGACAAATTTAAATGGCAGAAAGAAGCTCCATGAGAAAAATATGCCAAAGATCACATAAACAAAAAAAATTAGCCCTTTGATATTCAGGTTAGAAATATGAACTGCATTAAATGTCACAAATGGGATCATGTCACTGCAGATTGAGACTGTCCTTTGTTTGGTCTTTCTGGAATCAATGCAAGTTCAGTTCCCACTGATGAGGCAGGTAGGCACTAGACATGATTTATTTGTTTCAGAATTTATATAGAGGACAAACAAGGAAATAAAATAACGTTTCTCTTTATTTTCTCAGTTAAAAAAAAAGAAGTAAATAGATCTTCATTTTCAGGTTGCCTGGAGCAATTGCTTTCCACATCTGACACAAGAAGGAGAATTTTGCTTCATGTCACAGTGTCTCAGAACTGAATCTGTTTATGTCCACGTATCCTGGAACAGGAGCTGCATATAAGATGATACAGGGCAACAGGTCCTCTTGCTTGGTGGAAAATGATTCTTTGAATGAACTTGTTTAGCTAAGTCTCTGCCTGCCCTTTGCTGTCAGGAAGGAGAGGCAGCTAGAGATCTTCCTCCTCCTCCTTCATCCTTGCTGCTCTGCAAGCTGCCTCTTCTCCAGCACTCTCATTCCTGCCTTTGGCTGTTCCTCAATCCCATGTGGCTCTCTAGGCCTGTCATGCTCTTATATTACAAATCCATAACAACTTCCCATTTTTTGTCTTTTAAAGACTGAGAAGAATGTCATTTTCTTGTGGTTCTTCTCAACTATGTGGGTACAAAACATGGATTTCACAATTGCTTTACTCAGGGTGCTTCCCGTAACACCGCGTCTTCAGGTGGGCAGAGGGTAGTGCAATGCTGGAGTTAAATTCTAAGAATGTAGAACACTCACTCAAGATCTTCCTTTATTCCTGCCCACTTTGTCACAGGCAGAACAACGTAGGAGTGGAGATGTGATCTCCAGAGCCACACTGTCTCGTTCGAATCCTGGCCCCATTGCAAACTATCTGGGTAACTTCGGGAGGTTACTTAACCTTTCTGTACCTTAGTGCCCTCAGATGTAAAGTGAAGGTAGTAAGAGTCCATTCCCTCTTATAGGATTGTTATAAGGATTAGATGGGTTAATATTGGAAAATCCCTCAGTGTAGAGCCTAGACATAGTAAGAGCAATATTAAGTGTTTGTCAATTAAACAAAATATGTTTTGAAAGGATGGTTTTGTGGGATAGGAAGGTTTGGTTTAGGGCAGTGGTTGGCCTTTGTTCATCATAATGTGACCTTGGAGCCAAACTTCAGTGTCCAGAGGCAGTCTCTGAACTACAGCACATCCCGCAAGGATGAGTATAATAGTATATCCTACAACAAAGTTTGCTGTATTTTCTGAACAGCGTTGCAACTCATACAAGAGCTACATGGCACTCCAGAATAAATAGAAATACTAATAATCAGATAATACAGATAACTAACTCATATGGTTCATATAATCTTCCCTAAACCTCCAACTACCCTTGGAGGTCAGTGTGGCCGGTGCTGCTGATCAGCCACCGATATTCACTTCCCTTTTCTTTTATAATAGAATGCCTGAGTTTTGTCAAGCCCATGGCCACCCAGCCAGTGACTACATTTCCCGGTTTCCTGTATAGCTAGGCATAGCCATGTGACGAAATTCTGGCCAATGGAATGTGAGTAGAAATAAAGTGTGCTATTTCCAAATTGTGCCCTAAAAAGGAAAGGACATGGGCTCCCTTTGCTCCTTTGTCCCCCTTCCCACTGGCTGGCATGCAGTTATGATCAAGTGAGCAGCTACATTGGACTCAGAGATGGAAGCTATGTATTGAGGATGGCAGAGTTGCCTAACCAGCCCTGTACCATTTAGGTCTGAAATGCTTTATTGTGAGAGAAATAAGCTTTGATCTTGTCTATGCTATTTTGTTGGTTTTTTGGGAGGCTCTTTTTGTTATAGAAGCTTGGGTGATACCTAATATAGAAGGTGTTACTATCTCCATTTTACAAAAGCAACATGGTAGCTTAGAAAAATTAAGTGACTTGCCCAAGTTCACACAGTTTGTAAATGGCCATGGTGGGATTTGACCCCAAGTGCTCTGATGCTAGCGCTGGGGCTGTTAACCATGTACCATGCTATTTTTTCTCTTGAGCCCTACTAGGTAATGATCTGGGTTTATGGTAAAGAAAGGGAGAAGAGAGCTACCTGTTCCGTTCCCCCTAGTTGACCATTCCTAGCTATGACCAATGGTTCCACCCAAACATGTATACTTCATAACTATTCATTTCTCCACAGATGCATAATTGTGTGTGCTCTCAGTCCATAATGAATGTGTTGATTGTCTATGAGGTTTGACTTTTTATTTTTATTGTCAGAGTACAAGAACCCATGTCTGGTTTCTGCAAACAGACTTAAACCCAAGGTCAAGCCCAGGTGCAACATTTAAAGCATAAACAAGGGAGGCAAGCAAAATACCTCTGAGAGAGCAGCACTGGAAAAATAACTTCAATCCAAGCATGTGAATCCCAGTAGTTAAACATGACTGGTTGACCCAGGCCTTGCAGGAGCCCAGAGGCAAGGAGGGAATGTGGGTGAGCCGCAGGAGCTTAAGCTAGTCAAAGTCAAGTTCAGAGGCCAGTGGACCTGCACAAACTTGAAAAAGGCTCAACACCTGTTGTAAATATTTGCTTGCTACTGAGTCCTACTCAAGCCATCTCCATATCACCATGAATGAAGTCAGACTTTTAGGGAAAAGTGGTTAACAATCTGGATTTCTGCGGTAGCAGGGTGGATCATATAATGCTTACTCCTGACACCACGCCTGACACCTATTCAGTTTCTCAGCTTTACTCAAAGCCTCCATGACTTAGCAGGTTCAGGTTAGGCGACCTTCTTAGGTAATCCTAATAACAGCTGGCCTTCCCTTCTCTCAGCACTTTTTCCCCGTGTTATTGTCTGATTATTTGTCTATGTCCACGTCCTTTGCTGTTGTACTCCCAGAGCCCAATAGGCAGGGGGCCCAGGACACAGCAGACATCCAGTATATTGGATGACTCCCATGGGTTAGTGGTTATGGCTGAACATAACATGAGAGGCCTTCTCTCTCAGAAGAATGTGATGAAATATGCAATTGATGAACATCCAGAATCCAGATATTCACCTGTCTTGAAAATTGCACTTCCAATCCACACTCTCAGTGCCTGTGACAGTATAAACTAGCTCGAGCATTGCAGAAAACAATCAACAACATGTCACAAGAACCTTAAAAAGTTCAAATGACTTGAACCAAAAATGACCTCTGAAAACAGGTCCTAAGGAAATAAATACAAATGTAGAGGAAGGATGTCACTGTACTGTTATAGAAGAAAACAATTTAAATGTTCTCAGTAAAGGAGTATGTAAATAAAGGAATAGTCCTTTGATTGCAAATTGTGTAGGCATAGGAGAAAAATATCACATTTTGGAAAAAGATTTAATGACTTGGAAAAAGTTTTATCTGATAATGTTAGGTGGAAAAAGCAGGATATAAGATTATGTATTCTATAGGATCCATTGTAAAACTCTCTCTCACACACACACACACACTCCTTTACAAACATATAAGAGAGAAAATATTGGTAAAAATGTTACCTGTTTATCGTAATCTTTGAATGATTGTTTGATATTTTATCCTGCATTTTCCAAGCCTCCATTAGTAAGTATAAAAAATAAGTTAAGGGCCGGGCGAGGTGGCTCACGTCTGTAATCCCAGCACTTTGGGAGGCCGAGGTGGGTGGATCACGAGGTCAGGAGATCGAGACCATCCTGGCTAACACGGTGAAACCCCGTCTCTACTAAAAACACAAAAAAATTAGCTGGGTGTGGTGGCGGGCGCCTGTAGTCCCAGCTACTCGGGAGGCTGAGGCAGGAGAATGGCATGAACCCAAGAGGCAGAGCTTGCAGTGAGCCGAGATCTTGCCGCTGCACTCCAGCCTGGGTGACAGAGCGAGACTTCGTCTCAAAAAAAAAAGAAAAAAAAGTGAAGGTAAAAACAAATTCCCAATTATTATTTCTATGTTTCTTCTGTTTTTTGTTTTGTTTTGTTTTTGAGACGGAGTCTTGCTCTGTCACCCGGGCTGGAGTGCAGTGGCATGACCCCGGCTCACTGCAACCTCTGCCACCTGGGTTCAAGCGATTCTCCTGCCTCAGCCTCACGTGCAGCTGGGACTACAGGCAAGAGCCACCACGCCCAGCTAATTTTTGTATTTTTAGCAGAGACAGGGTTTTGCCATGTTGACCAGGCTGGTCTTGAACTCCTGACCTCAAGAGATCCACCTGTCTTGGCCTCCCAAAGTGCTGGGATTACAGGCATGAGCCACCAGGCCTGGCCTATGTTTCCTTTTTTTGCAAACACCAGATCAGTAGCGTGGCACGTAAGGCCGAGGCGGGAAAAGGCACATCCATGTTCTTCTCCTTAGCATAGCTCATGCTATGGCCATCACCAGACACCAGAGGACATCTGGGTTGCCTCCTCCCAAGTAGGCAATTATTCATATTAAAGCGGGAAAGATATGGTGCAGCCAAATAGGCAGAGCAGAAGGTATGTGCTGCTACTGCATATAACACCACTGCTACTTTTTAAAGCAAATCCCACCTTCTTCTTTGGCTTGCTCAAGCCTGTTCCACAGTGAACAGGAGTCATGGAGCTGTGGTGATGTTTATTCTCTTCTCTTAAAGCCAACAGCCAATACTGAATTGTAACTCTCTTTGTTTCTTGTTGTGTTCTTTTCTCTTCCTTTTTGCCTAACTCTGAATTTACCTCACAAGGCCACTGTGAAGAGAATGAAACTGAAATATGTAGAACATTCTCGGCCTCTCTGAGGATGGGTGGAATCAGAACAGAGTAATTACCCCTTGTGCTGTCTTGTATGCCTGTCATCCAACAACACATGATGTTCATTCTCTCCATTCTTTTCTTGCAATACTGATGAAATAAAATTTGTCTATAAAGATTCCTAGCTGAGTACTCAAATGTTTTTCTTGAACATTTGTTACATGGTCTACTTTGCAAGCTTGGTTTCAAATTTGTTGATACCAGGATTAATAACAGTATGTCTTGTGCCAGTATATTTTATTTTCATTGAGTTCTGAAAATTGACTTCAGAGAACAGCATTTTTAAAATAACATTTTTATTTATATCAATAAAAATACCCATGAATTCATATGACTAAAATATTAAAACCTAGAACCCAATTTGTTTACCTAACCAATCACTTGCAATTACCTTTAGGTAATTGTATTGGTTTGGTTTCAAGTATTTTTTAACTAGGGCTGATTTTAAGAAGTGTTTTCATTTAAGCTGTAATTATAGTCGATAGAACTTCCACCTAATATGTGACTTTTTTTAATTTTTAATTTTTTTGAGATGAAGCCTCACTCTGTCACCCAGGCTGGAGTGCAGTGGCACAATCTTGGCTCACTGCAACCTCCGCCTCTTGGGTTCAAGTGATTCTCTCGCCTCAGCCACCTGAGTAGCTGAGACTACAGGCGTGTGCCACCACGCCCAGCTAATTTTTGTATTTTTAGCAGAGGTGGGGTTTTACCATGTTGGCCAGACTGGTCTCGAACTTCTGGCCACAAGTGATCCGCCTGCCTCGGCCTCCCAAGGTGCTGGGATTACAGGCGTGAGCCCCCGCACCCAGCCTCCTATGTAACATTATAAATTTATTGTCATTACTTGTAAGCCTGCCCTTTATTTTAAAATACAAGATATGACAAGATCAGAAACCAGTCTTGTTTCTCCATTTCTTTCTCTAGAAATAATTCTTTAGGAATTCAAATCCATAGTAACAAAAACAAAGGAAAAAAAAACATGCTTTTTTTTATATAATGAATAAAGGTTAAGAAATGACTCCAGGTCTCTTATTTATTTTGTTGATATTTGTGTTGGTTAGTTAAGAAGATGATTTGCTCGATTATTTCAACATTTATTTATTCAACAAACTGTGGACTTTGGAGATGAACAGCTGAAGCTAGAATCCTGACTATCCCTTAATAGCTGTGTAACTTTGGGCAAGTTATTTAACCTCCCTATACCTCTGTTTCCTAATCTGTAAAATGAAGATAATATTAGTATCTAACTCATAGGGTTGTTGGGAGGGTTAACTAAGCAAATATACAAAAAGCTGAGAATAGTCCCTGGTATATAGTAAGTGCTCAATAAATTATGGATGGGAGGATCCTGACCCACATGGAGTTTACAGTCTTGGCAGTATGGATCGGGCAGGTAGAAAAAGACACCAAATTACACAGCCAACAGCATCTTTATAATTGTTTTTAATATAGGAAAAGTATAGGGTGCTAAAGATCAATTTGTGGCTTTCTTTTCCAATGAACTGCTAAAGTTCCACTTTTATGCCCAAGATTCTTATCATACTTTTGTAAGATCAAGAACAACATGTGAAGTTTCCACTATTATATATCCACCCATTATATGTAGTTGTACTGGAAAAAATTAAAAGCTGATAACTTTTAATTTGAAGATGATGGTATATACTATGTATATATATTAAGGTGCTTAAAGATAAATCCTAGCACCTGAGGAGGTGTAGAAATCATTCAAACTCTTTGATTACAATGACAAACTAGTCAGTAACTTACTAAATATTGTACTATATATTACTAAGTATTTTACTCTTCAACATAGCTTTTTAAAGACACAAAGCTTTTCAAAATTCCTGCTTACCTGGGGGTAAAATTTGGGGAAGCAGATTTCTCCAGTGTTTAAAGAAGCCAATTTGGCAGTGTACCAGAGTTGAATACATTTTTCCCATCACAAGGGAATACATTTTTCCCATCTAAGTTAAGTTGTTTTTCTCTGGTAAAGGAGGAAATCAACACCCATCTGTACGGAGATAAACGTTTCAGAGTGTTTTTATATTAAATAATTAGTATACTAGTCTAGTAAGTGATAATCCACGAATAAGTTAAGAAGAGCTAAGAAAGAAAAAGAAAAGCATCCATCCATCCTTTGGTTGCAAATAATACTTACATTAGCGTATGGCAAAATTTAATTTTGTACAGAGTAATTTAACCCAGGATTGCTGACTTTTTAAGAGCTGAGAAAGCATAGCTATGGAGCGCAAGGCCCCACCCAGCAGGGTCTAAGTATTCCGTCTGCAAAACTGGCAGGCCACCAACGGCCGCGTCCCAGGGCGGCCTGAAGGATGCTGATAACCGGGAGCCCCGCCCTGGGTTCGGCTATCCCGGGCACCCCGGGCCGGCGGGGCGAGGCTCTCCAATTGCTGGGCCAGAGCGGGACCCTTCCTTTCCGCACCCTCCTGGGTATCTCCGGTCTTCAGGCCTCCTTCGGAGAGCCCTGCTCCGAGCCCATTGGGCTTCCAATCTTGGCCTGCCTAGCGCCGAGCAGCCAATCAGAAGGCAGTCCTCCCGAGGGGGCGGGACGAGGGGGTGGTGCTGATTGGCTGAGCCTGAAGTCGCCACGGACTCGGGGCAACAGGCAGATTTGCCTGCTGAGGGTGGAGACCCACGAGCCGAGGCCTCCTGCAGTGTTCTGCACAGCAAACCGCACGCTATGGCTGACAGCCGGGATCCCGCCAGCGACCAGATGCAGCACTGGAAGGAGCAGCGGGCCGCGCAGGTACACTCTGTGCTCCCCGAGCGGGCCCGAAGGTCCGTTTAGAAAGCGGGGGCGTCGGCAAGTAAAGGCCCGGCTTCCCCCGGGGCGGCGCTTGGAGGGACTGTACCGCGGCTCACTGGGCAGGGGGGATCCCCTTCGGTGCAGACGGACTTTTACATTCGCCGAAGCAGGGGAGGGGGGTCCGGGTAGTGGGGCGCGGGACTGCAGGCTTTGTTGTCCGCGACAGGCTCGGGTGGTTGCTTCAGAATTTTGCACTTTTGCCAACTGGGACAGAGGTCGCAGCTTGAGGACAGATTGAGGGCTCATGGGGAAAGAGGCAGAGAGCTGCAGCTGCAAGGAAGTCAGTGAGGGGAGAAGTGGAACCAGGCTCTAATGGTGCCCTTCTTGAAATACTGTTTACACGCTTTCATAGTTGTGGGGTCCCAGCAGGGCAGGGATTGTGTTTTACAATCTTGAGGTCTCCAGCACCAGTCACAGTGACTGGTACGTACTATGCACATTATTAAACGACTAAATAAAAGAACTTTTACATTCATTGTCTCATTTGCACTTCAAAATGTCAAGCCTAGCATTTTAGAGCTGGGGGGTGACATTAGGGATTGATTAATGCGTTTATTCTATTCTTTGAGCACCTGTAGGTGCTAGGCACTGTTCGGGGCAAGGTGTACAAATTCCAGTGCGGCAAGAACAACACCCTTGAGAAGCTGAGAGTCTAGTCTGGGAGACGAGACACATAAACAGATGATTACACTCCAGCGTGGTGAGGGCTCTAATAGAGGTTATCTGTAGAATGTAGAGGGAGTGACCAGGTGGGCCGGACAAAGCAGGTGACATTTGAACAGGAATTTTTTTAAATGAGTAGGATTTTAACTTGGTGGTGGGGGAGGCATTCCTGGCCTGTGCCCACGGCTGCAGAGTCTCAGAGGGCATCTATGAGGAGGTTGGATTAGATGAGACCACATCTGGTCTGAGTCTACTGTTGGCAGATTGGCCCAGGGAGTCTAAAGGTCTTGCCCTGTTCCCTGGCTGCTGGTTAATGGTAGACAGAGGACTGCAGCCCTGTTTTCCCTATTCTGCCTAGTGCTCTTGCTCAAAACTCAGGTTCGTGAACTGGGGTATTAATGCTAAGTGCTCATGGATTGCTTTAATGGTTCCCTGTTTGGGAAAAGGCTGCCATTCTCCTCCAAGGGCCTGGAAAATCTCCCCTCTTGGCCCTGTTCTTTGTTATATACCATTAGGTTGGTTCATGAGCTCTTAAAGTAAACCAGAGAGAGGTAGAGTCTTAGTAAAGGATGTGCCACTACTTAGTGGCAGAGACAAGGTTAGAATTCAGCTTCTTGGACCCAAGACTCTTTCCTTACCCAGTGGGTGCAAATCCTGGTTCACACTGAAGTTTTCATGAATACTCGGTGAATTGAGAAAAGTGTGGACAAAGTAGTGAGATTTTTACAAAACAAAATATTTTCTTTTTCTTTTTCTTTTCTTTTCTTTTTTTTTTTTTGAGACGGAGTCTTGCTCTGTTGCCCAGGCTGGAGTGCAGTGGTATGATCTCCACTCACTGCAAACTCCGCCTCCCGGATTCAAGCAATTCTCCTGCCTCAGCCTCCCGAGTAGCTGGGATTACAGGTGTCCACCACCACACCCAGCTAATTTTTGTATTTTTAGTAGAGATGGGGTTTCACCATGTTGGCCAGGCTGGACTGGAACTCCTGACCTCAGGAGATCTGCCCGCCTTGGCCTCCCAAAGTACCGAGATTACAGGTGTAATATTTTCATTTTTAAAGGACTCCCCTTTATTCTGAGACTAGCTGCCTTCTTCCTTGTTTGGGAGAATCATGAACTGTTGAAGTCCCTGCTGTTGATTTACCTTACATAGTTGCCCATGTGAGAAATGGCTGACTCCAAAACACATCTATAGTTGGGAGGCTCTTAATTGAAATACAGCCATCCCCTTTGTCCATGACATCTCAGGGCACTGTGTACATCGTCCTGATTGGCAGTCACATTGATGTCTTACTGTTCCTCAGTTTTAGCTGCTCTTAGTAAAAACCGCTTACTTCTTTTAGGCACTTCTCCCTCCACCCAGGGCCCTCCAAAAGGAATTATGCATATGCCTTATAGCCTATATAATTTTCAAACACTTTTTTTAAATGAAAAATTTCAAATATTCAGAAAAGTTGAAAAAATTTTGCAGTGTATATCTATATATCTGCCATCTAGATTCTACAAGGAACATTTTGCCCTGTGTCTTTTATTACGTTACTCCATCTGTCTGTCCATCCTTTAATTCATTCAAGTTGTTTCATGTATTAGCAGTTTGTTCTTTT
Organism: Homo sapiens; assembly: GCF_000001405.40. Classification (NCBI taxonomy): domain Eukaryota; kingdom Metazoa; phylum Chordata; class Mammalia; order Primates; family Hominidae; genus Homo; species Homo sapiens. The sequence continues at coordinate 34,441,407 of NC_000011.10, forward strand.
CATTGCTGAGTAAGATTCCATTATTTGAATATACCACCATTTGGATATCCTGTTGCTGGACACCTGGGCTATTTAATTTTTTTTCTATTGTAAGTAAAGCTGCTGTGGCTGGGCATGAAGGCTTATGCCTATAACCCTACCACTTTTGGAGGCTGAGGTGGGAGGATAGTTTGAGCTCAGGAGTTGAGACCAGCCTAAGCAACATGGTGAAAACCCATCTCTACAACAAATAAAAGAAGTAGCCAGACATGGTGACACATGCCTGTAGTCCCAGCTACTCGGGAAGTTGAGTTGGGAGGATTGCTTGAGCTTGGGGTGTGGAGGCTGCAGTGAGCCATGATTACATGACTGCACTCTAGCCTGGGTGACAGAGGGAGACCCTGTCTTAAAAATTAAAAATAAATAAAGCTGCTATAAAAATTCTTACATAAGTCTTTTTGTGCACAGGTGGTTTTATTTCTCTTAGGAAATACCTAGGAGTAGATTTATTGGGTCATAAGGTAAGTGAATGTGTTATGAGAAACTGCTGAGCCTTTTTCCAAAGTGGTTGTACCATTTTATACTTCATCAGCAGTGTATGGGAGTTCCAGTTGCTCCACATCCTACCAACTTTTGGTGTTGTCAGTCTTTTACATTTAGTTGTTGGGTGTGCAGTGGTATCTCATTATGGTTTTAATTTGCTTTGCTCTGATGACTAATGATGCAAAGCATCTTTTTACATGCTTATTGACCATTGGTATATATTCCTTTGAAGTATATGTTCAAATTTTCTGTCTTTTTAAAAATTGAATTGCTTTTAAATTATTAATTCATAGCCCATATTTTAAGTTCAATCATGTGGAATCATGTGTAGGCTAAGTGTTATAATAATAAATCTCAACATGTATCATGGTATAAACATATTAGAAATTTATGGCCGGGTGCAGTGACTCACACCTATAATCCAGCACTTTGGGAGGCTGAGGTGGGCGGATCACCTGAGGTCAGGAGTTCAAAACTAGCCTGACCAATATGGAGAAACCCTGTCTCTACTAAAAATACAAAATTAGCTGGGCGTGGTGGCACATGCCTGTAATCCCAGCTGCTTGGGAGGCTGAGGCAGGATAATCACTTGAACCCTGGAGGCGGAGGTTGCAGTAAGCCGAGATCCTGCCATTGCACTCCAGCCTGGGCAACAAGAGTGAAACTCCATCTCAAAAAGAAAAAAAAAGAAATGTATTCCTTTCCTACATGAATGGCCCAAAGTGGTTTGAGGTTGAAGGAGGTGGGTGGGTGCTCTGCTTCCCACAGTTATTGAGGGCACCAGGCTGAAGGAAGCTCCCCCTTGGTCAAACATGGCTTTTATGGGCGTCACTGTCCAGCACAGAAGGCTCAAGAGCGTGGAGAAGGGTATATGAGTGTGGGAAGGTTTAGGGTCCAGGGTCACTGCCACTTACATTCTGTTGGCTAGAACTCTGTTACAGGCCACACCTGGGGTAGTCTACCCCCTGTCCAGGAAGCTGACTCTACTATATTATCCAAAGCGTACATTTCATATTTGGTGAAAATCTGTCCAGCCATTTTCTTGTGATGCGGCAATGGACATGCAACATAATTTCTTTTTAAAGAATATGTCATTTTTACTTTCTGACATTAAGATATTCTGTTAGAAAATTATGACAGTAACAGATGGTATTAAAAAAAAATCTCCCCTTGCTTGGTAAATGCTTTTATCTAAGTGGGCAGCTTTGTGCTAATATGATGTCTTCCACTTCCCAATTAGTTGTGATGCTTTACTGATCTAGGAGAGCTTTATGGTTTGGGACTACTATAGGCGAACACTCTGTTGCCTCCTCTCTCAAGAATCAGAGTGTCCTATTTTGGAAACACAGTCAACCATGTGAAAGCAATTTATTGGGCGTATCTTCTGTGGTCAGATTTGGTTTGCTGACAGGTGAATTGGGAGTTTTGTAAACTTTAATAAGTGAGCATTGAGTCAGATGTGTTCATGAGTATGACCTCGATCCACTTAAAAATTCTTATTTCTTTTTCTCTCTTGGCAGGAGGGAGGTGGTTGTGCAGGTATTCCCAGCCACTTTGAAGGGAACTTAAATGGGAACTTTATTGCTCACTGCTTAGAATGCCATGGGCTCTTCTTTTGAGATACTTACCTTTAACCCATTTCCTTTTTTTTTTTTTAAGTGCAGCTTGCTGCCAGTGCTCTTTTCTTGGGGGTAAATGGGAAATGTTAATAAGTAGCCTCTGATCCCTTTAAAATGGGAGAATTTGAACATTTCAAACCTTACCTTTTTATACAGTTCTCTTATTACCTGGGAGAGAGGTTAAGTCTTAGACTATCCATTTCTGTCAGTGAGTTGCCTATGCATTATAGCCTGTGAGGGTCTATATTTTTTTAGGGTAATCCTGGTAATAACTGCATTGATGTTACACTGCTAACATTTGGGATGGAGAAGGGGTGACTGAGTGACTTAACCCTTGGTCCACATGTGCTTTCATTTCTCCTGAAATATACCTAGGTATGGAATCGCTAAGTCATTATGTGCAGTGGGAGAGACTATGGGAGATGGGACAGAAATTTTTAAGGTTTCATTTCTTTTTTTTAGCTTTTGCATGGTGGGTAGGTCTATGCAAACCTACCCCCAAAGTCTGAGGAAGCTGAGAGGCCAAAGAAAGAGGCTGACAAATCAAGTTTCTCAGAAAGAAATGTTTAGTAGGGACTTAGGACCAGAAACCATGTCTGTGTCTTGCGTGTTGGCGAGACAAGATGGTGGATCCCATACCATTACCCCTCAGACCCAGGGCTTAATACCATAGGGAAGGGCGATTCAGAAGGGAGGTATGGCATGACTGAAGTATGATAATGTCAAGGTTGTTTGACCTCAGGGCAGGATTTATAGTAAATAGGGGCTCTTTCACAAGGAATAATAGATAAACTGGAAATCTTAAAACTGGAGTTAATCAGAAGTCAGCATGGTGGATCAGTATCTAAGACGGAATTGCTTTAGCTTCCACAGCAGTCAATATCTAGACCACCCTTATTATTTTCCCACAGACCAAGAAATTTGAAGGTCAGGACAGTCTTTGGTTTCCTGTACGTGGGTGTATACGTTGTAGGCACTTGAATCTTTGTTGAATAAATGGAGAATGTTAGGCAGTTATTTGCTAGAAAACGCTAGGCACATTCTTTATCACAGAATGAAAAGACGTCATTATGACTCCTCTGGGACTGATGGGCAATTTGCATTAACCAATCTTTTAATTAAAAGTGGAAGAATATGTTTAGGTTCTTGAAACTTCTGTGAGTGAAGGGAACTACTAAGTGGAAAGTGTAATATGTTGATAAAATATTTCACCAGATGAAGCCAACCTTACTCCTCCCAGGAAAACTTCTTCATTTATGTATTAGCTCTGGCCAAAAGAAGCCTATAAAGGCAGCAAAGTCAAAATAGAATTTTACTTTAAGTCCCTACTTCTAATAATTGTGCTAGTTTTTAGCCAAGCTAATTTCTGTGGCAGTTTTCATAACAAGTGTGTCTAAAGGTGTTTGATCAGAATTTATAAATTAAAATATTTCTCTCATTTTTTGGAGGGGCGATGCAGGGAGAGGGATAGACTGTTGCTGCTTCCTCCTGCTTGTTAGAAAGGCTCTTGGCCATATCATATTGGTCCGTGGTTTAGTTTATTTGCATGCTGAATCCACACACATTTGTTTTATGTTTGTTAGTATATTGAGCAGTGTATTAGGGATCAGGTATATAGATGTAAAAGGAGTACACAGTCTAGAGAGGAAAAATAGTGACAGGCTGGGCGCGGTGGCTCACGCCTATAATCCCAGCACTTTGGGAGGCCAAGATGGGCGGATTTCTTGAGGTCAGGAGTTTGAGATCATCAGCCTGGCCAACATGATGGAACCCTGTCTTTACTAAAAATACAAAAATTAGCTGGGTGTGGTGGTGGTCGCCTGTAATCCCAACTACTTGGGAGGCTGAGACGGGAGAATTGCTTGAACCCGGGAGGAGGTGGAGGTTACAGTGAGCTGAGACCATGCCACTGCACTCCAGCCTGGGCAATAGAGCGAGACTCCATCTCAAAAAAAAAAAAAAAAAAAAAAAAAAAGAAAAACAGTGACATAAACAGGCAATTACAATATTTTGTTATATGGGGCACAAGAAGATGCCCTTGGCCCTGCTTCATGAGTGGTGTGGGGCAGGGTAGAGAGAGCAGTTCAGGAGAGGTACGTATGGATGTCATGGGAGCTAGCAGCCAGGAAGATGTAAACATGTTAACAAGGACCTCTCCAGAGAGAGGTCTTAAAATTATCCAGCCATAGAGAAGCTTTTCTCTCTTTAAAAATATTCTGGCTCTAAAGTTATTCATTGAGTTAAAAACAATAATTGCAAGTTGGAGGAAATCTCTTTGCCTGTCCTTACGTGTTACATGTAACAAGTAAACCTGTGCCACAACACTGACATCTCTGCAAAGTTACTTAAGTTTTCTGAGTTTGTAGTATCGCCCATTAAATGGGATTAATAATATTGATCTCTGGATTATTGACAGGCTTAAGTGAGATAACTTGCGTGGTCCGTTTTCTAGCCCCACCCTCTCATTTCATCTAGTAAATCTTCATTGCATTAATTATTTTCATCTTAAATACACCGCATCCTGCTCCTCACCTTCTAATATTAATACTCTATCTTTCAGTTTAGATCAGTTCCTCTTATCCAATGTTGCGCTAAACATCCCCTGAAGTTGGGGGATCTTTTCCTTTCTAGTTTTTGCTCCCTGGCTTCCCTTTTCTGTTGCTGACTGTTGAAGCTTTCCTGCCCCACTGGCTTTGAAGGTAAATTGTATATACATGAGCTTGTGGGGAAAGCTGTTATATAAATGAGGACAATTGATCTAACTGTTAGAGTGGGGAAATGGAAGAGATTCTGAAGCCTCCATTTGTAACTTAAAAACTCAGGTTTCATTTCTTAACAGGATTGATGTTAAGGAGGGGATTCCTTCATTGGGCAGGAGGGAGGACTGCCATAATTCCAGCATTCCCACTCTTAATAGTCAGTGTCATCAGGAAAGACCACCTCAAGCTTTAGTACTTTATTCATTTATCCAACTCTGCACCTGCTGCCTTTGGGTGTGGTATTTATTCTTGACCATATCACCCTGACCCGGTAACCAGAAGGGAACATGTGATGTGCTCTCATCTCTGCCTTAGGGGCAGCTCCCTCCCCACGTTAAGAATGCTGGCATGTAAATAACACTCTCATCTGTTTAGCGTTCCTTTTACTGAGCTTCTTGGTATCTTTTCTCATACTTGTACCTTTTATGGGATGTCCCCCCCTTTTTTTTTTTGAGACGGAGTTTCGCTGCTGTTGCCCAGGCTGGAGTGCAATGGCACGATCTCAGCTCACCGCAACCTCCGCCTGCTGGGTTCAAGCGATTCTCCTGCCTCAGCCTCCCGAGTAGCTGGGACTACAGTCACCCCTCCACTGCACCTGGTACTAATTTTGTATTTTTAGTAGAGACAGGGTTTCTCCATGTTGGTCAGGCTGGTCTCGAACTCCTGATCTCAGGTGATCCACCTGCTGCAGCCTCCCGAAGTGTTGGGATTACAGGTGTGAGCCACCGCGCCCAGCCTGGATGTCCCTTTATTTTTTAAAGGCTTCCTTAAATACCTTGTTTGTAAGTTGAAAAGAGCATTTAAAGAGTGAACAGATTTGGTTTGCTCTGGCTCTCTAATTATTTTAACTTTGTTATCACCCAATAGTTCTAGGTTAGTGGTTTTCAATCCTAGCTTGAACAGGAGTCATTTAAAAATAGCCCAGGCCTCACCCAGGGCACTTCTATCAGACATCTCTAGGGGGGATGGCCCAGGCATCAGGAGGCTTTAAAAAGCTCCTCAGGTGATTTTAGTGCATTGCCAAGGTTGAAAACCAAGGCTTTAGGTTTAAACTAAAGGTGAAATTGCTCTTTTTCTGGTTCATTTTCTACTTTAGAAAGTAGAAATTTTTTTTCTGGTTCATTTTCTACTTTAAATTAAAAATAAACCTACAGAGGGTAACACGTATTAGCACGTCACAGAGGGTCACACGTATTAGCAACATATGTATCTTCAAAAGAGTGATGTGACTGGGTGGTAAGTGTTGATTGGACCCTTAAACTGTGACAGTTTAGAAGGGGCTTTGCTAGATGGGTTTAGGGACAGAGATGGTAGAGTGAGAGAGTGTGGATGGAGGAGTATGCATCTGTCATGATTACTAGAAAAATAAAACTTCAAATGCTTTGCTCCTTCTGCTGCGAGGTCATGTTCTCACAGCCAGTGAAGTGACAGCATATATGTGTTGAATGTGTGGCTTGCATTTTACATTTAACTCTTTTAATTCATGTGTTAACCTTAGGAGGTACTTATTATTCTATTTTGCAGATGAAAATGGAGACTCATAAATAAGTAACTTACCAGCAGCTACATAGCTGGTAATTGGTAGAACTGGAAGTTGGACCCAGGCTCTAGTGCTGGCACTCATAGTTTCTCCCTGCTGCCATGTTGGCCTCTTCCTACTTGGATGAAGATATAACTCTAGTGGCAAGGGCATTTACTAGTGTGTGAGAGGGTCTTGTTTATTAGTTTTGCAAATTGCACGGTCTCCTTTATTCAATATCTTTTTTCAAACAGCTCACAGATCTTTTGTGGTTTTGTAAGTGCCTACTCCCCACCGTATTGCCTTCTAGAGAAGAGGCAGGAATTTATTTTAATGTACAGGACAGACATGCATGGGGAGTAAAACTACAGACTCCACTCTAGGTGTGTGGAAATACTAAAAATAGTGCTTTTCTCTGTGTGTGAAGTTGGTCTGTTGAGTTTTGTCATAGACAGCGTTGAGTTCCTCTCCCAGGTGGAGGTGGCGTAGCTTTGCGTCACTTACGTGTCTCTCCTGATTTCCAGTGACCCGGGGAAGACACTGCAGAGGCAGTTGTCTGTGGTCAAAAGTATTCTCTGACCATGGAACTAGATGAAGCTATGAGCTTCCAGGATCATGTGGGGCTAGAAGAATGCCGCTCTAACCCTAGAGGAGGGACAGCTGAGTGTCTTCTGATGTAACTGAAATTGGAGAATCAGGTGGATTAAAATTAATTATTTATTACAGTAAAATAACCTATCCCATTTCAGAGACATTTGCTATCTTTAAAACATTAATACTATAATCCACCTTACCAGTAACAGTTTACTTTTAGTGACAGTGAAAGCCATTGACTTTTTTTTTTTAATTGAAAAGAGATGTTGCAAATAGCTGGTGTACATTTCTTGAGATGCACTAAACAAGGTAGCGCACTTGAAGATCGTGGCAGTAATAAAGCGTTTGTAAGTTCTGAGTAAAGTATTGACCAGCACAGCTTCCCTGGAGACCGTCTTCTCATTGCTGGATTGGACATTTCACTGTTAAGCTTGTAGGACGCTTTTGGGCACCTCTCTGACTGGGAGCTTTGCAGAACCCAGTGGCTTTCTCTGGAGCAGGTGCTGAGCACATTTTCAGGCTCCAAAATCATCTTTCTGCTCTTCAGAGCAAGTTTCTTAGCAGATTAGTGTTGAGATTTGTCAAGGGTTTCTGGGGCATCACTAAAAGTTTCAGGCAATGGCCCATCCTGTCAGATTTTAGTACTTTGGACACAGGAAATTAAAAAAGAGGGCAGATGGTATAAACATTGCAAAGCTATGTACCCGTGACAGTGTAAATGAAAGGTTTGATTGTGCTAACTCTCCTGCACTTTCTTTCTGTGTTCCTGTAGAAAGCTGATGTCCTGACCACTGGAGCTGGTAACCCAGTAGGAGACAAACTTAATGTTATTACAGTAGGGCCCCGTGGGCCCCTTCTTGTTCAGGATGTGGTTTTCACTGATGAAATGGCTCATTTTGACCGAGAGAGAATTCCTGAGAGAGTTGTGCATGCTAAAGGAGCAGGTAAGTGCTGTGTTTATTTGCTGTAAAAAGATTGTTTCACAGCACCTGGGTCAAGTGTTATTTCCCAAAGGATTGGAAGACCTTTAACACAAGTGTCAAATCTCCATTTGTGGGAGAAAGGAAAAACATCCAGCAGTAGGGAAATTAGTAAATAAATGATGGTTATTTCCTCAGGTTAAACATTATATATAAAATAGTTTCTTTTAAAAATAGCAGTCTTCCATTTCTCCCATCATTGAAGGAATAAAAATACAATAAGTCCTCACTTAACATCAATAGGTTCTTGGAAACTTTGACTTTAAACGACATGTAATGAAACCAATTTTATGATAGGCTAATTGACGTAAGCAAGAGTTAAGTTCCTATGGCATATTTCTGATTGATAAAACATCATCAAACTTCTAAATAGAGACTCAAAATACCTCTTATATTAAACATTGAAATAAATGTGAGCCATACATACCTTTAAGAAAGATTAGTAAAATAAGATAGTTATTTACTAGCTTATTCCAGTTCAAGGTGGTGGGAGGCCAGAGCCTGTCCTGGCAGGTTGGGGTACAAGGCAAGAGCCAGCCCTGGACAGGATGCTGTCCATTGCAGGGTGGACTCACACTGGGACCATTCAGACATGCCAGTTCACCTAACACGCACATCTTTGGGATGTGGGGGGAAGCTGGAGTACCAGGAGAAAACCTATCTAGACATGGGGAGAACATGCAGACTCCACACAGATGGTGGCCTCAGCTAGGAATAGATTTTTTTCTCATCAACGTTATAATGAAACAACGTTGAACAAAACAATGTTGTTTGAGGACCTGCTGTACAGAAATACAGACATAGACACATGCACTGCAATTGCAACTAAGTTTAAATGATGTACTTACTGGGTAATTACTGGAATGAGCTGCAAAATTTGGGGTAGTTATGTTAGGGTGGTGGGTTTGTGATGATTTTTCCTTTCCTTTTTTCCAACAATTTCTGTAAAACTTTCTTTATCGCTGTTATATCAGACACAAAAGATGGGGGTGGTATTTGAAAGAAAGTGAAAAACTCAGTTGGAAAAAGAGCTCCACAGAAAGGAAGTTTTTCTCTTAGCTTGCTGACTTGGACTTCCAGTTAGGACTTCTGCATTTCTTCATCTCTTCTTCCTGGATAAGGTTTCTCCCCATCTTCTCCAGTGGTTTGTGTGTATTTTTCCATCTTGACTTGTTTAGTTTATTGCTTGCTTTGTATCATCGTTGCTAAGTGTTGAAAAGATTCTTTCTCTTATGTTTTCATCTCCTCTTCTCTCTGTTCTTCACTTTCTCTCATAGGTCCTACCTGTACTTCAGGCCCCTCTGAGACCCTGTGTCCTTGGGCCAACCTTGACGACTTCTAGCCTCACTCACCTCCTTCTCTTGGCTCCAGCTATGTGGCATTCGACTTAGCACTGAATGATAGAATAGGGCTTTGCATTTCACCCTCTTTATTTTGTGTTTGGGCATTTCCCCTTCCTCCAACATACTGGAAGCTCCCAGAAGGCTGGTGCTAACCATCATTTTCTCTTGTCACCCAGGTGCCTGTTGAGGACCTGAATGTCTGAGTAATGGTCTCATGGTAAGGATTTCTGTGTCTTTCTCGTTAGGGGCCTTTGGCTACTTTGAGGTCACACATGACATTACCAAATACTCCAAGGCAAAGGTATTTGAGCATATTGGAAAGAAGACTCCCATCGCAGTTCGGTTCTCCACTGTTGGTAAGTTGGTTTATTGGCGTGATTGGTATGGCTTAACTCAACTTCACCTTTTGGGGATGTTTATAACTTAAAGAAAAAGTTATTAGAAAATAGGAAGCAAGCACTTCTCCAAATTATGTCAAGGTTTTACAGTAGAAGACATATTTGGAGACACATAGGAAGTTACTTGTATTTCTGTTTGTTGAGGTCTTAGGAAATCACACTTACACAGAGGCTACCTCTGCAATTCTGTGACATTTGGAAAGAGCTTTCCTAAAAGTGGTTGCCTCTAACAGAAGAATAGAGTGGAAATCTTATTTAATAACTATGCCTACAGCTGACCTTTATTGAGAATTAATTCTGTGCCAACTGTGGTTAGGTGCTTTACAGATATAATCTCTGATTTGTAGATCTACTTTGCAGAGTGGGATTCTTTTTATTTTTGAGAGGCTAAGTGATGTTTCTCACGTTACAGAGATAGTATTAGATCTATCATACTATATTTCAACATACCTAGTGCTTCACTAGTTCCGTTTCTGTGTCAGTCTCTGCATTTTAAAAATACTGTGGAATGTAAAAATAAATGAAATTAAGAACTAAGAACCAATATTTTAACTCATTTTCTTAATGTTAACCTCATCATTTTGACAACTCACTTATTCTGTTTGTCACTACTTTAAGCCTCATAATTATTTTCTTCCCTTATTTTAATTAAAAGTTCAATTACCTGTTTGAACAAAGTTATCTTATTATGGTAAATGAATGACATTGTCAGCTGTTATTACATGTGTTCTCTTATTGCTCTCAATTAATTATTTTGTTTGATTTGTGGACTGAATTAGCTGGTGGGTAGAAATAATAACCCGGGCACTTAAATACCTAATTTAGTTCTTGGAAGTGGATTAGAAAGGATGGATCCAGGTGCTTCTTTATGTCTCCAGGCTTCTTGGATGCAAAGTGCTGTGGCTTATGCTTCCTGTTTCCATTTGAATATTGTAGCTGGAGAATCGGGTTCAGCTGACACAGTTCGGGACCCTCGTGGGTTTGCAGTGAAATTTTACACAGAAGATGGTAACTGGGATCTCGTTGGAAATAACACCCCCATTTTCTTCATCAGGGATCCCATATTGGTAGGTAATAGAGTATTTTGCACTCAACAAATGTTTGTTGACTTAAATTGATTTCAAATAGGTTGGCATTTGAGGAGAAGCCGTGGGAAAGGCAGAAAGAAAAGAATGCGAGTTGTCTGGACTACTTTTTTCAACACATTTTTCTGTATTTAATAAGATAAAGTAAGAACAGTTACCATTGGTCTTAGATTTGTCATTTTAAGACAGATTGACTTAATGGGAAGTGAGTTTAGTTTTCCTTGCAGAGCATCGAAGATTAGTAAAAAGAGGGACTTTACTTTGGAAACAAGCAGAGGGTGTCTCTACATGCTCTGAGTCAGCAGGAGGGGGTGTGTGTGCGTGCGCGCATGCGGGAGGGTGGGTATATTTTTTCCGTGAAGAAATACTATAAATCCCAGCACTTTGGGAGGCCAAGGCAGGCAGATCACTGGAGTCCATGAGTTCGAGACCAGCCTGGGCAACATGGCAAAACCATATCTCTGCAAAAAAATACAAAAATTAGCCAAGTGTGGTGGCTCATGCCTATAGTCCCAGCTACTTGGGAGGCTGAGGTGGGAGATTTGCTTGAGCCCAGGAGGTCAAAGCTGCAGTGAGCTGTGATCATGCCATTGCAATCAGCCTGGGTGACAGAGTGAGACCCTGTCTTAAAAAAAAAAAAAAAGAAAAGACTATAGTTTTGAGTATATTTGAAATACTTTAGGGTATCTTAGATGCTAGTTGTCTATGCTGAGTAAATTTCATATTATGGTTTGGCAGTTTAAAATTCTAGGATTGTATTTAGAATTATAATCCATAAACCTAGTAATAGGCATATATAATGAAAGACACCATAATTCCTGTAAACTTAGTTTTTGGATTTTTTTCTCTCTTTTTTCTATTTAGTTTCCATCTTTTATCCACAGCCAAAAGAGAAATCCTCAGACACATCTGAAGGATCCGGACATGGTCTGGGACTTCTGGAGCCTACGTCCTGAGTCTCTGCATCAGGTATGAACCCTTTTTTGCCATTGTATTATATCACCTGGGATGCAGTGTTTAATTATGCCTCTTCATAAAGTGTCTCTCCAGTTTTGGCTATTTTATTGGAATCAGCTTCCTCAGATTTCTTGATCGTGAAGAGTTTTGTAGTAACTGGCTTTACTAATCATCCCCCATTCATCGGCCTTAAATGATGATGATGATGATGATAGATAGCTAGCAACATTGTCAGTTGATATTTAGCAGTAGTAAGGATGAAAGTCTGTAGTGTAAGGTAAAGCTCTGTATTAAGGAAGTGGGGGGAAAGTAGTACCAAACAAATTTGCTATGCAAATAAATTTTGAATAACAAATTAGGCCAGTTTTCAGGTTGTTTTGGCTTTCCTTCATAGAATTTTGAGTCATAGTATTAGTGATTTGCATATCATTTTGATTTAAAATTTTTCTGTTTGTTATTTTCTACAAGTGAAATAATAATGGTAACCCTTCCCATGGGAAATTGGCTAGTATGTTTTATGTCATTAAGGGACTTTCTGGAAACTAAGGAATATCTTAAAAATCAAGGATGTTTTGATTTAAATGAAAACATTTTAGGCTTTATATTTCTGTTCTTTAGGTTTCTTTCTTGTTCAGTGATCGGGGGATTCCAGATGGACATCGCCACATGAATGGATATGGATCACATACTTTCAAGCTGGTTAATGCAAATGGGGAGGCAGTTTATTGCAAATTCCATTATAAGGTATGTGTTACCT